>NC_000011.10:40666060-40969090 GCF_000001405.40 Homo sapiens
CAATGGTAAACAATTAGATGCCCTTCAATTGAAGAATAGATAAATGTTCTACGGTACAGTTATATGATGGAATACTACTCTTCGACAGTCAAAGCAAATGAACTAGAGCCTCACAAATCACTATGCAAAATTTCACATTTACAATGTTGAACACAAAAAGCAAGTTAACAAATGTATCTCTACAATTTATTCAAATAGAAAACCATTTAAATTAATATTACATATTTTTATAGGTACATTTATATAGAGGGAAGGTATAAAATATGCATGGTGAGGGTATAAACGTACTTCTGGATAGTAGTTACTTCTATCCTGGTTAACTTCTAGTAAGGAGAGAAGGTCATGTTTGAAGTAAGGAGGAGTCAGTTGTGTCTACAAAATTATATTTCTTTCCAGAAAGGGATATGTTAATAAAATGAACTTGACAAAATGGTAACATTTGGCATATCTGATTGGTGGGTACACATGTGGCTATATGTTTGCAATGTCTCAAAAATGGTTCAAATTTGGGGAACTGAGGAAATATTCCTTTGGGCAAGAGAAGAATTTTTGCTAATAGTATCTTATATCAATGCATTAATATTGTAATATAAAAATTGATATTTTCCTAAATACATTCAACATATGCACATAATTGTTATTGGTGTGTTGAGATAAAATAATCTTAAATTAACAGGAGAAAAGAGCAATTAGAAAATCTTCCCAAATGAAAAAGTAGGGTACTTTAGAGATTTAGAAACAGATGGTAATCAACCAAGTCTTAGAGTTGCATAGGCTATCCTAGCCAGTGGTCAGTTAAAATAACAACTTCCTCCTGAGGTCCCTCCAAATATTTGTGAAAGATAACTCCAAAAATATTTAAGTAGCTATAAAATGCTAGGAATGGGGAAATACCTTGAATTCAAATTGCCATCAATGGTTTTTGTCAAGTACTTAATTTTCCTTCAGAACAAAATATTTTGCCACTTGAATGATTCAAGTCATAAATGTAGATTATTCAAAATGTAGTTGCACTCACCAAAAAAATCTGACTTCAACAGAAATTAATATTTTGCAAACCACTTCTATATGTTAGGGCTAAAGACTCATTGTAAATTAATTATTTAGTGTTTTTACACAAGTAACTTTACCTATATGATAAGGGGGAAATAAGCAAACTATAAATTGGTGTTTTCACATTCTATGAGGAGCTCAATTAAGATGCAGAAACACATACTCTACATTTAACTCTGAATGTTATATATGAATGATTTTCCTTTTACTTTTGCTTTCTCTTTTGAAAGACCACCCAGAGGAATAAGAAAATCGATGTTCCTTCAATTAGCTTTAGAATCTGAGTTGGTGAAACTTTGAGTTGCCTCCCAATGCGACAAATCCTTGCATAATCCACTCCTCTTGAATGTAGGAGAGAATCTGCAACTTGTTTCTAGTCAAGGGAATATGGCAAAAGTAACAGGATAGTCACTTTTTTGTTGTGTTACCTTACAGATGACTCCATCTTAGCTGACTGTTGTGAGTCTCTTGTTAGGCTGGAAGAAGTAAGCTGCCTGCCATATGGTAAGAGAGTCTAAGAGGAACTATGAGAAACTCATGGGAGCTACAGTGCCCTCTAGGAGCCCAGAGTGGCCCCTGGCTGATAGCCAGTGAGAAATGGGACCTCAGTCCTATAACTGCAAGAAATTGAATTAGGCCAACAACAACAAGAGATTTGAAGAAGACTCCAAACTTCAGAAGAGAAGGCAGCCTGGCCAACCCCTTGCTTGTAGTAGTAGGTATCTCTGTGCAGAGGGACTAGCTAAGCTGTGCCCGGACTCTGAATCCACAGGACTATGAGATAATGTCTGTTGTGTTAAGCACCTACCTTAGGTAACATGTTCTGCATAGGTAACTAAAACACTCCTTCATCTGTGAAAACTTTGGGTTATCAGTGGTTTTCAATTCCGAGTGTGCTTTACAATAACTCAAGTACTTTTTGAAAAAACATAGGTCAGGCCCCCACTGTGAATAAATTGAATAATCAGAATTTGGAGAGATGAGGTTGACATATATTGATATTTAAAAGATTTCCACATGCTTCTGATGATACTAATCTGATCCCAAAGGAAATTTCTAGTTATAAATATGTTTATAAATGACATTGGCATCCAAAGTTTAGTGCAGGTACATCTTATCATTTTCTTGTAAAGTAAATCACACATAATATTTGCTGTAGTTTCCGAGACTAATTTTTAAAACATGGAAAGAGTTATGTTTGATAACTGTATCTATTATTGGATATCTGGCAAATCAATGTGTCCTCAACCAGTATCTGGTCATTTGCTTTCCTTCTTAGAAAGAGAGAGAAACACACACACATAAAAAATGCAAACACAAATTTTAAATTTTAAATGGTCTACACACAAATAGTGGCTACAAATAAAGTTCGCAAGGGAAGAAGGCGTATCTTAATACTCTCTTTTCCTTGTCTCTAAAGCCAGAATTTTCTCTCCCATCCTGACTCTTGCTGGACAAAACCCTTGTATTTTCTACTGACGATTTTTCATACTGATACCTGAGCAAAGCTCTGTTTCTCACCATCATTAATCTATAATGAGAGAGGAAAATGTAGGTGGGGAGAGAAAAAAGTAAACCTTGCAGACCTCTCAGCTATAAATTACAGTTCAATCTTACTTGTATTTAAAAAATAATTACCCAATGGAATAGAAACTAGAGAGATTTTCCTCCCTCCATTCACTTCTGATTTATATTCGTCCCAAAGCCAAGGTACTGTGGAGAAAGACAGTAGAAACCATGGGGCTAGATGAATTGATTTTTGGTTCTTTGTCTTTAAGGAAGAAGGCTAACAGGAGTAGACAGAGCATCAGTGATAACTTATAAGGGCAAACACCTCTGTTTTGATCCTTGGTTTGATGTTCTAACCTCTATAGCCCAGGTTCAAATCTCTACGGTTGTTGTGTTTTTAAAGGCAAATATAAATCTTAAATAGGTTTTCTATTCTGGGTAGCCCTCGTTTCAAATGGAGTCAAACTACTTTCTTGGCAGATTTCCTTTAAACCAACTTAATATTTTGCTGAAAATAATAAATGAATAAATGAATGGGCCCCTTCTCCTCTTCTTCTAATCACCATGCCCATATCGAATTCACAAAATCAATTCATCATGTCCTGGACTTCAATGAGTTTTTAGGAGTTCATAAGGCAGCCTGTAAGAAACACAAGTAAAGAAGTTTCTATTTATTAAAGCAACAATATACCAAAACAGTTAAAAGAAGGGAAGCAAATATTTTTGCAGTCTTATCTTTAAAGTCAAAGAATTCTGAGAGACTCACTTTTCCCTGCTTTTAGATTTCAGGCCATGAGACCTGGCTTCGGGAACCCATAGACAGCTGATGTTTCAAATGTAAAGCTTGGTGCCATTGCTTTCTTCTCCTCTCCAGCATTTCTCCTTTCTCTCCTAACCATGCTGCCTGCACTGCTATCAAGTCCTATTGGTAATCTGTTCTGTTGTTCCTGCTTTTAGGAAAAAGGCTGATCTTTAATCAGCACTTGTGTGCTTTCTACTAAACAAGACCCTCCGTTGTGTTTCAATCAGCTTGCCTGGTACTCCCAATATATCTTCTAATGTCTTCAGACTGAGGCCTCACATTTCTAATTCTGATTTGGCTGTGCCACTTGGCCCTTTTAGGAAGAGATATCATCTGTCACTTATTTTCTGCTTTATACATATTTATGTCCAATGTAACACTCTGCTGGCTAAAGCCACCTTTCTATCTGACTGATACAGAATTTAACATCTCTCCTCATTATACTTTTACTTAATATTGAACTAATTATAGAAACAGTAGGTATAAAATCACTGCTCATAAAATATACTATACTATAATGACCTTTACCAAACAACCACATAATAGTCTCATTGCAACTGGAACATTTAAATTACCTTGATTATAGCTTTATTTTTTGCCAAGAGCAATATTTTTCCAGAGCTCTTCATTTTTGTCATCAAAGAACCTCACTCCTGAAATCTCAAGAGCAACTTTTCTCCCAGAAAAAAATAGTAGTTACTTCAAAATCAAACAAGGTGTGTTGTACATCTCAGGAGTGGAGAACATTATAGTCACTTAAAGGTGAAGTCTGGGGTATCCTATCACCTTCACTAGACAAGGGCTTTCTTCATACACTGCGGTGTCCCTGTACCTACAGTGAAAATTTGAGCCTTGATAAAAATGCCAAAATTACTCTCCCTCTTGGGCCATTGGGAATATGTGAAGTGACCCAATACAGTAAATCCTTGTGGCTACATGTAGACTTCTCTTTTAAAATGTCCTTATGTAAATGTTCAACTCCAGTGGGGAGACTGTTTCTAAAGAGAAGCATGTCTATATCAGACCAATGTGAATACCATTTTTTAATGCGGCTACATTGATGGTACTTGTGCCTAAAATATGGACTTTCCAAGAACTTTGATCATTTTTTCCCATTTCCTGAAGGATAACAGCAATACACCTTTTTGAAAACAAAACAAAACAAAATGATAAAGATGTATGCCCATAAAACCACCAGCAGCAAAGTTGCTAGATGTAGGGAAAAAAGGGTACATACCAAAATGTCATTAGTCAGTTTGGCCACTTACCTCCTGAACTTCAGTTATGAATTTAGGATTTGAATTCGGCCAGTGAAGAAGAACTTTTTGTTTGTTTGTTTGTTTTTGTTTTTGTTTTTGAGACGGAGCATCGCTCTGTCGCCCAGGCTGGAGTGCAGTGACGCATCCTCGGCTCACTGCAAGCTCCGCCTCCCGGGTTCACGCCATTCTCCTGCCTCAGCCTCCCGAGTGGCTGGGACTATAGGTGCCCGCCACCACGCCCTGCTAATTTTTTGTATATTTAGTAGAGATGGGGTTTCACCGTGTTAGCCAGGATTGTCTCAATCTCCTGACCTCGTGATCCGCCCGCCTTGGCCTCCCAAGGTGCTGGGATTACAGGCATGAGCCACTGCGCCTGGCCAAGAAGAACCATTTTTATGAGCACAAATTTGGGGTGAGAAATGTGTATGGATTGTAGCGTTTTAAAAAAGTATGTATCTATACTTACACCTACAACTACATCGCTATTTATATCTATATCTAAATTGATGTCTTTAGAAAGTATTAACATTTGAAACTGTGATTAATCATTTTATTATTTTAAATTATTAAAGAAGCTTTAGCAACCATTTTAGAAAATGCATTACTGGTCTTTGAAATAGTATTTTGTTTTAATTTGGAAATATTTAATATGTTAGAAAAGATCCACTGATACGGAGGGCTTAAGGGAGAGGACAGAAATTAACGTCAGAGTTTAGCCACAGAAATAGGAATTTAATAAACTTAATTAAAGGATTGGGAAGCAGATAGAGAAAAGTTGCTTCTAATATCTCAGCCCCTACTATTCTTTATCTTATGCATTTTGTTGCAGCATCATTGGCCATCTTTCACTTTCTATATAGCACAAGTTTATTTATGCCTAAGGATCTTTGCAATTCTCTCTGTCTGGAACTCTCTTACCCAATGCCGCTTAATGTCTCATTCCTTCATTCTTGTCCTTATTCAGTGTGTGTGTGTGTGTGTGTGTGTGTGTGTGTAGTATATATATATGTGTGTATATATATAGTAATATATGTAAATAGTAATATATAATTATCTCAAATAACCCTCATCTTCATAATCCTTGTCTCTTATCCATCCCTCTTTATAATTACTCTGTTTTATATTTTCATCGTGCCTATCACTATCTAAGATTATTTCTAAGTACATTCATTGTACTTATTCCTATTCTAGAATGTACATTTTTCAAAAACGAGATTTTGTCTGTCTTACTTTCTAAGCATATAGCAGGTACTTAGTAAACAATTGGTTGAATTAAGGGATAAGTTTCTTTCTTGTCTCAGTGACTATGTCCTGGGTCAAGTCTCAAGACTAGTCAAGTTGTTAGTTACTCATCACTGGAGTGGTTGTTTTAGACCATTTGGGCTGCTATAACAAACTACCATAGACTGGGTGATTTATAAACTACAGAAATTGATTTCTCACAGTTCTGTAGAATGAAAAGTCCAAGATGAAAGTTCTCAGAGATTTGGTTCCTGGTAAGGGCCAGATTTCTAGGTGTGTTTCATAGATGATGCCCTCTCACTGTGTCCTCTCATGGTGGGAGGAGTGAGGGTTCTCTCTTGGGCCTCTTTTATAAAAGAGGCACAAATCTCATCCATGAGACGTCCATCCTTATGATCTAATCACCTCCCAAATGCCTCAGCTCCTAATACCATCATCTTGGGAGTTAGAATTTCAGCATATGAATGTTGATGTACACAACATTTAAACCATAGCAGTGGTTCTAACAAGATAAATGAGAAAGTTAATAACAGCTAGTATTATACTTTACATATTTATTTTCCAATTGAGTTCCCCATTAGAAGTGATATCATCATTTCTACTTTGAGGACAAGATTTTGCTGTGTCATTCTGGTTGTAGATCAGCTGAAGAATCTTGATAGGAAAACTGTTGTTAACACCATAAATTAGAAATGTCCTAATTACAAAGCTTTTTCAGATACACGAACTTCCTTCGATATGCCTTAGCCAGTAATCTCTCATCTTATTCTCGGAGTTTTTGTAGTTGTGGAAACAAGCTAACATCACAAACTACAGGAACAAATTAATCTTGCTTTGTGTCAGAGGAATAACATCTCAGTCAAATCATGTTTTTATGAAGAAAATAGCCAATTTGTAATATAGCGGCTGAGATTAGTAGCACTTAAGAGGGTAAAGAAAGACTTTGACTTCTTCACCTTCACGTTGTTTGATGAGCATTTTGACAATTCCCTCACTTCATATTTGAACCTCAAAAAATCTCCTAATTTTGTGAGGTCATAGGTGGAAAGACTGTCCATGAAGCTCTTAAAAAATTGGAGTCAGAATATTACCTAAGCCTATCTTAAAAGAAAAAAAAAAACAGTTAAGTAGCAAGAAATGAAGATTCTGATTATGCATATTATTTAATGGAGTCATGCATGTTTTTTTTGGTCTGCTGAACAGCTAATTTGTAGTAAAATCATTCAAAAAGTTTATTATGGTGAAACCAATATCTTCTCTTACATGATCCTTACATAATCAGCTGAACTTTAGGAAACATTTTGGAGAAAAAGTAAAAATATTAGGAGAAGGGCAGTTCTCATGAGAAATTACCTGCTGCTTTTTGCTTTTCTTTTCCAAGAATATTTATCCTCTGATTAAGTCAGGTACAATGTATGGCCATCAAACATAGCACTGATAAGAATATAATAGTAATTATAATAGTAACACCTAATATCGGTATCTTATTCTACAGGCCATAAGGCAACAGCAACACATACATCACTTCACTAGCTTATAAACCCCAGAGAAAAGTAATCCTTTAATTTTTTTAACAAAAACTATAAATTTTACTGAATTGTAGAAAAGTAGCATAACTTTCTCAAAATAATATTTAGAATGTGGCATGATTACCTTTTCAGCTAGATGCTGTGTGCTTTATACAGTAGTTCACAAGCTTACTTCAGGACAAGAATCCCCATTTTAATGGAACGTTTAAGCACAAGTCCAATATATAAAGGAGATAAATAAGTACATACTATGATTAGTTCTAACGGATGCCAGACACTGCCTGTTACTTCACCTCTTTCCTCCACTGAGAGGATTAAAAGGATTCCACAGGAAACTTTTTAGCTCCTCATTACATGGTTTGAGAGCCACTGATCCACGTTATGTATGGAGGATGAAGTGTTGCAAGGAAATAAATTAATGATGGTCACCAAGATACCAGTGTTGGTTCTGCAGGCAATGCACCATTGTATATTCATGAACCATCGCTTTCTTGAGTGTAATCTGATAGGTTTCTCTCTTTCTTCCCCAGCAGTTACCTCAATGCTCAGTCATCATCTAGGCTGCCATAAGGCATTACCCCAGCATATCTCTGGTCTCACATAAAATAGGATGCAATGCTTTAATACTGTTAATTCTATAAATGTTTCCAATCCCATTGGTGATCCCTTCACTGGAAGAGAAGGAAACATAATATCTTTTAGAATATCTATAAAATTGGCTTTGCCTATAGGATTCGACTTTCATCGTTAATCTAAAGATGATGTGAGACTAGACTAAATGTCAAAAAAACTACCCAGCTTTTATATCATGGAAAGAGCACTGGGGTTGGCATTTGGCAGCTCCGTTCCAGTCAATGTGACCCACCTTCTTATATGAAGTTTGGTAAACTCATTCTCCTCACTTTTAGCCTTTCCTGCTTTGCATAGGAAAAGTAGAAGAGAGCAATAAAATCTAGCATGTTGTTCTGAAGAATAACATTCAAAATATTCAACAGCAAATATGGCAAGGATATTGTCCAATCAGAATGGATGTTGACAGCAAACAGCCAGGGGCTCTTAGGTGAATAACAGTCCTGGTGGTAAGCATCAGTTTGTATCAGATGAGACAGTGCACGTGGAGATGCTTTGTAAACTATAGTCCTATCTAAGTTTTAGGTACTATTATAATACTGGTTTATAAATCATATGCCTTCTTATTTACTTTAATATTTATAAATCGTGATGTTCTCTATGAGCTTCCATGCCAAAACTGTTTAAAAATATAATAATAATGATGATTACGAGGATGAATAAAATCAAGCCTCATATGCATAGAGCTTATATTTTGTAGGCTCTGTGCTAAAAGCTTTTCACCATCACCCTTTTAATTTCTATCAAAACTCTAAATGATGGGTGTTATTAACTCCATTTCATAGATGAAAAAACTGAGTTTCAAAGAGTTTGAGTCATATGCCCAAATTTGCACAGCTAATCACTGGCAGAACCAGACTTCAAATCCAAGTGTGTCAGAATGAGAGCCTGTATTATAACCTGGGTCACTGAAGTACGATTTCTACTCTGAAGCATCAAAAAATTCCCAAAAGTCAGAGCATACACAAAGCAGAACTTCTATCTTGTGTTACTTTTAAATTTATTTCATTGACAAGGTAGGTTTACTATACATTTAATGAAGCATGAATTTTAAGACCCCTTACTTACATGGGACCCATTTAGACTTAGGAATTTACCAGGAGTTGTAGCATGTTCTAGGTGGGGCGGAAAAGCCAAGTTGCAATCAGAAAGTGTATCTACTTAAGCATTTCAGGAAAATGGCCTAAATGGAGCTCAAAAGAAAAGAATTTGAAACTCTACAATTTCAGAAGTATTCAATAATTGATTATAAATATTTGATTTTGTTAGAATTTTATGATCGTTAAGACTCAGAAAAATTGGATCAGCCCTGGTCACAGGTGTTAACTCAGGACAGAGATAGTAGGGTAGCTGGGAAACCACGTTAAGCAGAGTTGCTCACACTTTTCTTACACTTGGGCCTCAACGCTGCATCCCTTTTTACTAATCTAGGCTAGTTTCCCTTTTTGTAATCTCCCTTGTGTCACCATCTTCCCCTCTCACAGCACTTTTATAATTTATCTTATATGACTCCCCAGCTGCTGGACTGTATGCACCACAAAGATGGCTGTGTCTGACTTGTTCACCACTTTATCTTCAATACCAAGTTCAACATCTGGTGCATTGTAAGTGTATAAGAACTCAACAACTATTTACAGAATAACATGTTCTATTTGTATCTTGGATATATTCACACAGTCTTTTGAATGCCTAGGTATCTTTCTGAAAAATCAGAAGTTTCTGTTAAAGTTTTTTTGGAACAGGATATGTTTATTAAAGAACTCAGTCTAAATTTCTAAATTTGAAGAAAAGTCATATAGGAAACTCCCACTGTTCATGTGAACAATTCAAAGCAATAGGAAAAGAAAACTCTTAAGTATAGTAACTATGGTCTTAGGTGTTGCTAAGATATAATTTGTTCTCCATAAAACTCACCAACACAAATCCCAGGAGTTACTAACAATTTATTCACAAAAATCAACACATTTTCTGTAGAACAAAATAGGTTTTCTAAAGAACAACATATATCTTATAGAGACCTTTTGTTTTGTGACAACTTCTAAAACCTTGTGTCAGTAATTCACATAAATCAAACAGCCAACTAGATGATGAAGACTGAACAACGTTAACTTTTTGGCTGCTCTTAAGGGAGTAGCATAAATCTTTTATGGCAGCTTGCAAGACAGTTTGATGTGTTTCTGTAGTTTCTTCATGCCTTTCTGGGTTCTTCTGAATCAATACTTGTCCAATCCTTGTCTTTTGGTTTCATTGAATCATAGAAACATGGAAGGCAGGGTTAGATGAAACCCTAGAGATCATCTAATTTAACCTCCTACACTGTAGGAATTCCCTCCGTAGACATTTTGAAAACCAGTGAGGGAATCTCATCAGGCAAACATACAGATTTGGGGCAGTTCCAATTATTGGAAAGGGTGTTTTATTCTGTTTCATTTCCTTCAAGCTTCATCAATACCTGCCTCCTTTTAATTTATTCCTATTACACAATGTTTTGCCTTCCAAAACTATGCAAGATAAATTTTTCCTTTGCTCCATGACAATTTGTCAGCATTATAAGATGGCTATCATGCCTCTTCTCAGTCCTTCTTTTAGGCTATATTTATCCAATTTTGATAATCTTGACCAATTTGGCTCAATATGTCTTAGACAAGAACTTTGGATATGTTTACTTGCACATGGGATGGGCTACAAGCAAATAGGCCAAATAATTAACAAACTTCAGAGAATTAAGTTACCAAAATAATACCAATCCTGTGCCTGTTAATCCTAAAAACATTCCCCAGTTTCTCGGGTATCGCTCCACAGAAAATGGTGTATTTCCCAATTTACCTCTCAAATGTGGCACATTAATGGACAATGAAAAACATCAGGAGAAACAGAGGCAAGACAAAGAGCTTTTTACCATTCCTGCCCAGCAGATATGATCATTGTGGTTAATCCATGACTCCCCCTGTGTTTCACATATTTCTCTTTTCTAGAAAAGAGGTTTTAAATTCTCTTCTTTCTTTACTTTTCATACATTTGCTGGGCGTGGTGGCTCATGCCTGTAATCATAGCACTTTGGGAGGCAGAGAGGGGTGGATCACTTGAGGACAGGAGATCGACACCAGCCTGGCCAACATGGTGAAACTCTGTCCCTACTAAAAATACAAAAATTAGCCGCGCATGGTGGCAGATACCTGTAATCCCAGTTACTTGGGAGGCTGAGGCAGGAGAATTGCTTGAACCTGGGAGGCGGAGGTTGCAGTGACCCAAAATCGCACCACAGCACTCCAGCCTGGGTGGCAGAGCAAGACTCTGTCTCAACTCAAACAAAACAAGACAAACATATGAACATATATTAGATGTGTTAGTATCCAATAATAGACACATTTAATATGTAAGTCTTTAGATCAAATAAAAGCATGTCTGGACCTGAAGGAAAGAACCTCCCATCACCTAGATTTTCTTGATTATGTATAGATACAGTAACTAGAGAAATTTTTTAGTTTTAGGAGGAAGGGTTTGCATAAATATTTGGGAAGTGAAATATGGATTATTGCTGACTCCAGAATCTGTTTTCTTATATTTCTTAATAACGAAACTGCCAATCTTTAGCAGTGTGTTTGCTGCTCAGCTAAAAACAGAAGAAAAACAAAACACAGATTTTTCAGCCTTCACGTGGTGAAATGGTTCACATGACTGAATTCTGGCCAGTGACACGTGAGCAGAGCTGTTTGGGGTGATTACAAGGACATCTCTTAAAGAGAAGGATGATACATTTCTTTACATGACCTCCAATCTGCTTCCTGAAATACAGCATTGATATCCGGAGTTTTACGTGCTATCTTGAGTGGTAAAGATAAGGCACATAAACCAGGAATGATAGAACGGAGAGTTGGAAGAAGCCTGTGACTTGGATGGCTCCGTGGAGCTGCCATAGTAACCTTAAGAGTACCAATGTCTTCCTTCCTTTATCTGAGAGAATAAAATTCTGAGATGCAAACCACTATCTTGGGGGTAGGGTGGGTTCTGCTAATACTAGATAAATACTATTCCTCACACATCACTTTTCTTTTTTTTTCAACTTTTATTTTAGAATTAGGAGGTATAAGTACTGGTTTGTTACAAAGGTATATCGTGTAATACTGAGGTTTGGAGTACAAATGAATTCATCACCCAAGTAATGAGTATACTACCCAGTAGGTAGAATTTCAGCCCTGGAGCCCCTCCTCCTTCTCCCCCATCTAATAGTCCCCAGTGTCCATTTAATCCATCTTCATTTCCATGCGCACCAGATATTACTTTTCGATTGTTCTGAATAACCTTCTGTGGTTTTTCTGGATTGTTATTTCCTTGGTATATTTTGGCCCAACTGATTTTAAAATAGTTTAGGATTACGTATTCTATATTATTTTATTCTAATATGATATGGTTTGGCTGTGTCTCCACCCAAATCTCATCTTGAATTGTAGCTCCCATAATCCCCATGCATCATAGGAGGGACCCAGTGGGAGTTAATTAAAACATAGGGGTGGGTCTTCTCCTTGCTGTTCTCATGATAGTGAATGTTTCACAAGATCTGATAGTTTTATAAAGGGTAATTCCCCTGCACAAGTTCTTTGCCCGCCGCCACGTAAGACGTCCCTTTGCTCTTCCTTCATCTTCTGCCAGGATTGTTAGGCCCCCCAGCCATGTGGAACTGTGAGTCAGTGAAACCTCTTTCCTGTATAAATTACCCAGCCACCAGCATGTCTTTATTAGCAGCATGAGAACGGGATAATACAGTTAATTGGTACTGGGTAGGGGGGTGCTACAATAAAGGTACCTAAAAATGTGGAAGCAACTTTGGAACTGGGTAACAGGCAGAGGTTGGAACAGTTTGGAGGGCTCAGAAGACAGGAAAATGTGGGAAAGTTTGGAACTCCCTACACACTTGTTGAATGGCTTTGACAAAAATGCTGATAGTGATATGAACAATAAGTTCCAGGCTGAGGTGGTCTCAGATGGAGATGAGGAACTTGTTGGGAACTAGAGCAAAGGTGACCCTTGTTATGTTTTAGCAAAGAGACTGGCAGCATTTTGCCCCTGCGCTATAGATTTGTGGAACTTTGAAGTTGAGAGAGATGATTTAGGGTTTCTGGTGGAAGAAGTTTCTAAGCAGCAAAGAATTCAAGAGTTGACTTGGGTGCTGTTAAAGGCACCTTTTTTTTTAAAGGGAAACAGAACATTAAAGTTTGGAAAATTTGCAGCCTGACAATGCAATAGGAAAGAAAACCCCATTCTCTGAGGAGAAATTCAAGCCAGGTGCAGAAATTTGCATAAGTAACGAGGAGCGGAATGTTAATCACCAAGACAATTGAAAAAATGTCTCCAGGGCATGTCAGAGACCTTTGCAGCAGCCCCTCCCCATCACAGGCCTGGAAGTTTAGGAGCAAAAAATTGTTTCATGGGCTGGGCCCAGGATCCCTCTGCTGTGTGCAGTCTAGGGACTTGGGGCCTTGCATCCCAGCATCTCCAGCCGTGACTGATGAAAGGGGCCAAGGTACAGCTTGGGCTGTTGCTTTAGAAGGTGGAAGCCCCAAGCCTTGGCAGCTTCCTCATAGTGTTGAGCCTGTGAGTACACAGAAGTCAAGAACTGAGATTTGGGAACCTCTGACTAGATCTCAGATGTATGAGGATGCCTGGATGCCCAGGCAAAAGTTTGCTGCAGGGGCAGGGATCTCATAGAGAAACTCTGCTATGGCAGTGCAGAAGGGAAATGTGGGGTCAGATCCCCCACACATAATCCCTACTGGGGTACTGCCTAGTGAACTGTGAGAAGAGGGCCACCATCCTCCAGACCCCGGAATGGTAGATCCACTGATAGCTTGCACCACACACCTGGAACAGCCATGGACACTCAACGCCAGCCCGTGAAAGCAGCTATTAGGGGGGATATACCTTGCAAAGCCCTAGGGGTGGCGCTACCCAAGATTATGGGAACCCACCTCTTGTATCAGTGTGATCTGTTTATGAGACGTGGAATCAAAGGAGATCATTTTACAGCTTTAAGATTTGACTGTCCTGCTGGATAATCGAACTTGCATGGGGCCTTTAGCCTTTAAGCTTCGGCCAATTTCTCCCATTTGCAATGGCTGTATTTACCAAATACCTGTGTCCCCATTGTACTTAGGAAGTAACTAACTTGCTTTTGATTTTACAGGCTTACAGGTGGAAGGTATTCACCTTGTCTTGGATGAGACTTTGGACTGTGGACTGTTTAGTTAATCCTGAAATAAGTTGAGACTGGGGGACTGTTGGGAGGCATAATTGATTTTGAAATGTGAAGATATGAGATTTGTGAGGGGCCAGGGGCAGAAGGATATGGTTTGGCTCTGTGTCCCCACCCAAATCTAATCTTGTAGCTCCCATAAGTCCCACCTGTTGTTCGAGGGACCCAGTGGGAGATGATTGAATCTTGGAGGCGGATCTTTCCCATGCTGTTCTCGTGATACTGAAAGGGTCTCAAGAGATTTGATGGTGTTAAAAGCATGAGTTTCTCTGCACAAGCTATTTTGTTTGCCTGCTGCCATTCACATAAGGTATGACTTGCTCCTCCTTGCTTTCCGCCATGATTGTGAGGCCCCATCAGCCATATGGGACTGTAAGTTCAATAAACTTCTTTCTTTTATAAATTGCCCAATCTCAGGTATGTCTTTATCAGCGTGAAAATGGATTTATACACAGGTGTAAGCAATTTGAATGACATAATTTATTAAACCCAACATATGCAAAATAATGTAACTTTAACATGCAATCATTATAGAAAGAATAAGGTATTTTGAATTTTAAGTCTTCAAAATTGGATGTGTATTTTATACCTACAGCACATCTCAATTTGAACATGTTACATTTTAAGTGATCAATAGCTACATGAAGCTAGTGGCTACATTATTGGACAGCACAGGTGTAATACAATCAGATATTGACCTATGAGTCTATGAAAAATTGTTTACATTTTTGCATTGAGTATGGGGAGTAAAAGAAGGAGCAGTGGGTGGAAATCTCAAGTGATACTTCCCTAGGCTCTCAGAGCAGCCTAATAGCAGAGGTAATATAAACATTTAATAGCCAATAGAGCATGGGCACTGATGAACCAAAATAGACACTGGTCTCATCAGAACAGGCATTATTCAAAACAACCAGTACAAGAGTACATAAATACAGGTTGAATGTAATCCATGTCTGTCTATGCTTTCAAAAAACCTAAGAGTCACAGTATTATTAATTAATCCTTTGAAAACTGTCTGCCCCAATACACAATACACTTCTATGAAGGGGCTCTGTGTGTTTTCATTTGTTGTACTCCAAAACATTGTACAGTGAATGGCAAATGTAATAGGGTGCTTATGTAGGAATTTCTATGTGAGAAAGTCTTTGCACTGGCAATGTGGTAGTGAAAAATAAAGCTTTAAAGCTTTATTTATGTAATATTTTATATAACTGAGAAAAATCTAATTGTTCAGTTCATAGAATGAGAAGGAGTTTAATAAATATAAAGACTAGGCATAAAATGGCTGGGTGTTGTGGCTTACACCTGTAATCCCAACACTTTCGGAAGCTGAGGCAGGTGGACCCCTTGAGCCCCGGAGTTTGAGACCAGCCTGGGCAGCATGGTGAAACCCCGTCTCTACAAAAAATATGATGGAATACTACTCAGCCATAAAAAGGAATGAATTAACAGCATTTGCAATGACCTGGATGAGATTAGAGACTATTATTCTAAGTGAAGTAACTCAGGAATGGAAAACCAAACATCGTATTTTCTCACTGATATGTGGGAGCTAAGCTATGAGGACACAGAGGCATAAAAATGATTCAATGGACTTTGGGAACTTTGGGGGAAGAGTGGGAGGTGGGTGAGGGATAAAAGACAACAAATATGGTGCAGTGTATACTGCTTGGGTGATGGGTGCTCCAGGCTCTCACAAATCTCCACTAAAGAAATTACTCATGTAACCAAATACCACCTGCACCCCAATTACTTACAGAAAAATAAAATTTAAAAAATACAAAAATTAGCCGGGCATGGTGGCACATGTCTTTAGTCCCAGCTACCCAGGAGGCTGAGGTGGGAGAATCACCTGAGCCTGGGAAGTTAAGGCTGCAGTGAGCCATGATTGCACCACTGCACTCCAGCCTGGGTGACAAAGTGAGGCCCCACCTTGAAAAAAAAAAAAAGCATAAAAGTAACTCACTGTGCTAGAAAAGGGGTAAATAAAGTATTCAATAGTTACTAAAGGGATGAATGAATGAATATCTGCCACTCAAACACTGCCTTATAAAAATTTGTCAAGTGTGGTTCTTACTGGGTGCCTCATACCAACAGTATGGGCCTTAAGGACTGCTTTTCAATTATGTAACACTTTTCATCTAAAGATATCTTTGTTTGTCTGGGTGCAGTGGTTCACACCTATAATCCCAGCACTTTGGGAGGCCGAGGCAGGTAGATCACCTGAGATCAGGAGTTCGAGACCAGCCTGGCCCAAATGGCGAAACCCAATCTCTACTAAAAATACAAAAATTAGCAGCTGTGGTGGTGAATGCCTGTAATCCCAGCTACTTGGGAGAGGCATGAGAATCACTTGAACCCTGGAGATGGTGGTTGCACTCCAGCTTGGGTGACAGAGGGAGACTCTGTCTCAATAAATAAATAAATAAATAAATAAATAAATAAAATAAAGATATCTCTGTTTATACACTCTTTCACAACAAATTACAGATAAAGTCACAGACCTATAGTCTGATAATAGAGTGATCAACAAATATTTATTTGAGATATTCTAGATAGGATGGAGAATTAGCTGGGTTACTTGCTGTTCCCCACGTCCAAAGGCAGAAAATATTATAGAAGAGAGAGGTATGTTTATGAAATTGTGAGAACCTCAGAAGATAGAAGATGGCTGGATGCAAAAGAAATAAAGAAACGGTTACCAAGAGTAGACTAATATCAGGTGATAACATACGAGGAGAATACAAGGAAGAACTTTCCAGCTATGTTCTTTCTCTTCTCCACATTTTTTTGTCTCATGCTAGTTCTATGCGGGAAAGCAGCAAAGGCTTGATGCGAAGGTGGTGGGTTAAAAAATTATGGCAATGCTGCCCTCTTGCTGGGGACCACTGGATATCCGTAAGTATAGGTATGCTCGGCATCCCTTTAGCATTCTCCACTACCAGCACCACTCATACCCACATGACACTGTGCCATTAATATATGAGAAATCAAACACTCCTATTATTTAGAACGTATGTTCAAGTATTGAAATAGGGACTGTTGCCTAATATAGTATTCATATTATAATCTTAAGAACAATTCCTTATAGTGCTGTCTCTATACATGGCAAAATTGTTGACAAAGTAAACTTGAAAATTCTGCAACAGATGCTCGGAAATGATGGATTTAAAAATTGTCATTTTAAAATTAATAACTGATATAAAAAAAAGTGAAATTCCTAGGTGACAGAGGAAAAAGGAGGGGATGGAAGGAACACAGAATGAATCATATGTACTGAAGCTGTCTCATGTAAGTGTGGAGGTAAGGGGATGAGGGAGGAAGTAGATATGTATTTATTTAAAGATCATACGAAAACTGTAGAAAAGGTTTGGTTCTGCATGAGGCAGTGTTAGGGAAACTGCAAAAAGTTGCAGCCCCACTAGGGCTTGACTTCCTCATAAAAAGAAAGAATAGAAAAATCCACCCACCAGTACAGAGGGCCAATGAGGAAGCATGTCATACCAAAGATTTGAAAAGGGAAAACATAAACTCTGCTAAAACGCCAGGCTTGCTGCTTGTGCACACTGAGTTTAAATGCATCACATCTATGGGAACTTAGAACCCCAAATTAGCATAAATCTATGCCAACTCTAATGATATCACTGGTACAACTCTTATAAACATTGGCAAAGCTATGCTGGAGTTATCCCCACAAATAAAATCTCAGTAAAAATAAGCTCACTTTACAACGTTACAAAATACTTACACAATATTTCCACCTTGAATGAAAATTTAGCAGATGTAGTAAATAGCTGGGGTAAAAATAAAAATATTTTAAAATTGAAGAAATAAAAAAAAGCTAAAGACTTTACAAAATGTATGTTACATATATTATAGACATAACATAATTTAATGAAAAGAGAATAAAGTAATTCAATTTTTGAATAAAGAAGAGGAAGCATTTAAAAAAGAATCAAATAAAACTACTAGAAGTTTGAAAAGTACAATCACAGAAATTAAAAAAAACTAAATGTACGCATTAAATTTTGAATTAGACCCTACTGAAAGTAATGTTAGTGAACTGGAAGATAGAGATAAGGAAGTAACTCATAATCAATCACATTGAGGTAAATGCATAAAAGATATTAAAAGTTAAGAAAAATTGAATTTTCAGTGAGAAGACCTAACATATATCTAAAATAATTTCATAAATGGGGATATGCAAAAATCTTGGCAGAGTAATAAACAAAGAGTTGAAGGATTTTTTTTAGAATTGAGAGGGTTATAAATTTTCATATTAAGGAATGCAAAAAAAGTAAAAATAATACATTTCCAAAAATATTGTAGTGAATTTATTTGCAATTTACCAAATAAATACCAAAGAAAAAAAGACATTTTAAAAAACAATCAGAGAGGAAAAAATATATTACATGCAAATGAGGAACAATTAGTTTGACAACAAACTTGTTACCAGTGACAATCAGGACTAGAGTACAATGAAAATAAGGAGCTAAAATAAGCTCAAACTAGCATTCTATATTATTTCTCATAAAAAAGATGATTTTGTTGGACAAAGTTAGATAATTTGTAATATAATAGAAGAAGATATTTTCAAAATCTAAAAATAATTTGTATAAAAACTCCTGCATTCTTTGAGAAAAATATAATACACTCATTAGAAAAATATGAATAGTAGGTATAAATAAGTTTCTTAACAAAGAGAAAACCCAAATGTCTAATAAACTGTGTTCACACTTTCTAATACTCAGAAAAATTGTAACTAAAACAGTGAAATAGCATTTGATATCAATCAGATTGACCTGCTAAAAAAATAAAACACAAGACAGGATGTGAATAACTGGAATTAGTGGGAGATGCAACTGGCACCTCTTCTTTGAAGGCCAAATTATTTCAAAGATTTTAAGTATATGACCCCAAAATTTCTTTCTATGTTATGTATCTCCATAAAACTTTTTCACTGTATGTCATAATGAGATCCATTAGCAGTCTTTTTGTGTGAATGAAAACAATAAATAAAAGCAACTTCAATTTTTTTAATAAAAAGTGAATGGATAAGTAAAATATATAAATGCATACCATAAAATAAAATGTGATAATCAGAAATTATAAACAAGATTTAAGGTGGGCAAGCTGAATAGATCTAAAGAGAATATTTATAGAAAATTTAAGAAAACAACAAAATTTAAAGTAAGATTTTTATAACTATAAAACACACAGAATAATAATATATATTAATTTGAAATGTATCACTACCCAGAAAACCTGGAAAATAGAATTCGAGGACACACTTACACAAAAGTGAATAGTTAATGAGGATAATGGAGATAAGAATGAGGATATAGGCTGAGATAGAAAAATAATAATATTAAATCAGAGAAGAGAGAGAACTTGATCAGTACTGGCAGAACAATTCTGTACACATAAGAGTTAAAAGACAGCTTAAATATAAATATAAATGTGTACACATATATGTGTATACAAACACAGAGAGAGAGAGGAAGAATGGGAAGATTTACTTTGTCTTCAACCTTGTCCTAGGTTGAAAGATTCAATCGTACAATTATAAAAATGATCCTTGACTCTAAGAATTCTACACTGTATATGAGTAGATAAACTTAACAGTCATTAAAAAAAAAAGATCAAGAAATTCAGGATGGGACATTGTGAAGAAGATATCCCAAGATAAACTACTTCTATGGCCCCACAGCACTTTTTTCAACCTCATCATATACTCTACAATAACCTTGCAGAAAGCAAGGTTGTCATGTGACTAAGACTTTGGGGTTTGAATTCCTGCTCACTGCCTTGGGATCCTGGACATGTTTCATGACCTTTCTAAGTCTCAGTTTTATCATCCAGATGATAACAATAACAGTATCTACCATTGATTTGTTGTAAAAAGAGTATAGTGGCTATCTTGATACATGTTTGCTATTTATCATTCATATTTTTATGAGTTCCACAGCCCAGCATAACACTGGCACACAGAGGAAGCTCAGTGTGTGCTAACTGAGTAAAAGCTCAAGCTAGTGGAATGTAGAGAATTAGGTGGAGTTGTGGTGCACAACCAAGAGCACATGTTGGAATCACTGGGGCAGCTTTTAAAATGTGCTGATGCCTCCCATTACCCCGAGAGATACTCACTAACTTCACCGGGGGCGGCCCAGACGTTGAGTATACTGTGAAATTTTCTCAGGTGATTCTCTAATAGGTAGCCAGAGTCCAGAACTGTGGAGCTAAAGGAGGATAGGTGTGACCTGAAGTGGCTGTACAAGCTTCAGGGGCTGGAATGATGAGTAGCCTTTTCCCCATTAAGAGGAAAATGAAACGGTTCAAAATAATTTTTTTAAAAGTCTTATTTAATTCATCTTACAAGAGCAGTGTTTCTCTAATTATATTAAGAGTTTGAGAAAAATTGACTTGAAATCTCTATTATAACCATATTATAGGGTACATCTGCTACGAGATTGGTAGAGTACCTAAAGACTAGTGTTTATCTCAACACTCCAAGAGACATCTTCAGTTTAAAGAAGATAAAATTGTAGGCTAAAATCTTGCCACTTCAAGAGTAGGCCACAGACCAGTGGCAATCATATTACCTATTGGTAATACAAAACCTCAGGCCACACGCAAGACTTCCTGTATGAGAACTTGCACTTTCGTTAGCTAACCGGGCAATTGGTACCCACATTACGGTTTGAGAAATGGTGAGCTAGATTAATCACTCTCAGGCTTGGATGCTAATTGAAATAATCTTGAAACTTGTTTTTTAAGATCTGATGTTTTGACATTGTGGTTTTTAAGGCTCTCTCAAGTGCAACAGTTTGAGAACCTGTAGGCTAGATAATTTATATACAATGCCCAAAGTCACACAACTGGCAAATAATGGAGCTGAGATTCAATCCAGGACTCCAAACCCATTATGCCATGTTACCTTCCCAAATATACCTTTGAGAATCAGGAAGCCTTCAAGTCCAAATAAAAATATCAATTACCACATTTCTACATTTATTCAGTGTGTATGTTTGTAAGTATATGTGTGTATGTGTGTGTATATCTATCTATTAGATAGATAGATAGATCGATCCTCTTTTCAATGAGAGTGTAGTGCCTCTGATGGTCATGATCATATTTTAATTCCCCTACACTCTGATATTCAGCGCAGTAATAAGTAAATATTGTTGCTTAATAAATAGTATTTGATTAAATACACACTGCTGTTCAATCAATGAGATACACACTAATTTTACTAAAGAAATATTTCTTTGCCCATTCAAGCTAAAACTCCAATTGTACATAAGTATTAATATATGAGAAATGCTAAACTTTGTCTTTCTTGCTATGATTGATGCATGCAAATTATTTCACTTATCAAGACAAAACCTGTCTATAATTTTATATTAAATGTGATAAAATAATGAGGGCTAAAACCTAAATTTCCTAATGTGTAAATGGCTTGAAAATAAGCTTCATATTTATTCATTAGCTGTTACAGTGACTACTTCCGAAGATTATTTTCTGGCATAGAATTAAACTTTACAAACAATGAGAACATCTTACTCAATAGCTAATTCACAGTAAGATCATTATCTTATTATAATAAATACCTGGATAAACAATATTTAAATAAGCATAGCCCTGCTTTACAGACTTTTTTTTTTTCCTGAGGATATTGTAATCTACTATTGTTCCATAATAATGCCTGGCAATGAATGGAATGGGAGCTTACAAAAATAATTTGAATTATTTCTGTCAGTCACTCAGCAACAGATTTGTCTTATGCAGCATTACAAATTCATTATCCCGTAATTAGTTTTTTAATCTCAGAGCAGAAGGTAAAAATGAGCTGCTGCTATGGGTAGATGTTATCACACAGAGCTGCCCAGACAGCAGTTAGGTGTGTGGAACTGAAGACCTAACTTAACATTTGCAAATATAGCTGATTTCAACAGGACTGTTTCAAGATCCTCCCTTGTTAGCTTTACCTGTGAATTTAGTCAAAAGCATGGTAAAGGACACAACAAACTTCTAAAGAACAAGAAAAAGACTTGTTTTTCCCATTATATCACTGCTATAGTGATCTGGCAGCTTTTACTTACTTAACCATTTCCTCATTTATTCCAAAAATATTTACTGAATTAAGAATTCAGAAATTAGGCATCAAATGTTGAAAGCCTTGGGCTCTCATACACTAGGAGTCCACAGTGCAGAGCAGGGCATCAGATAAGGAGATGACAGGTCATAGAGATGGCTGAGAGTCCGATTGCTGCAGCCATAGGATGGATGCTCTGTGGACACCAAATGCTCCTACGTCAGTGGAAAGGTCAGAGGGGTGAAATGCTGTGGAAAACTTTTTACAAGAAATGACACGAAAGATGACATAGAAGGCCAATTCTCACAGGACAGATATTTAGAAGACGTGTTTGATTGGCGGGAGACCAATTTACACTTTCACACATAATGAACCACAGTGGCTTTCAAGTGCTTCTGCAAAGAGAGCAAGCAATTTGAACTTGCAAACCAGCTGGTGGAAGAACTTTATCATTTTCAGGGCTGGGGCATGCTAGAGGTTACAGCATGTACTTCACCGAGGTGTAAATAAGAAAACAACGGAGAATGATATTCTAGCTTTGAAATTTTTCACCTAAGGCTATTCCAGTTGGAAAACAGCGGATGAGGATACTTTTCTTGTAAACACTATTATTTTTTTTTTCTAATTTAAAATAGAAAAAGAGCCCTAGATAAGAAACGACAGTGCTATGGACTGTAGTAGAGATTACAATATCTTCTCTTCAGATGTATAAATGAGAAAAGGAACAAAGAACAATGGTTTTGATTCTGGAATCTCTGCTTTATCTTGTTTAAATCTCATACTAACCAATGGGATCTGTACTACGAATGTTCACATTTGTGGAGGCTTAGAGAGGCTCAGCAGGTAAGAATGTGGGATTTGAACTCAGTACTGCCTGATCCATCTTATAAGAATTGCATTACTCTGAGCCTCTTTCCTCTTTGTCTTCTTCATGAAAAAAATGGTATTTTAATGTCTACCCTACATGCTTCACAAGTTTATTATAATGAGCACACAAGGGGATATGTGTGTAAATCATTGTAAACATGAGTTCTTATATTTATCATTATTAATAACATTAATATAATGAACAAGTATTAATATTTATAACAATCATGACTTATCTGGTTTGAAGTTCTTACTACAGAGAGCTCTAAATTGATTTATCCATTTTCCGAAAGAGTTGAAGAGGATTCTTCTCAAATAATATTTACAGGAAAAATCAAGATTAAGAACAAACTGAAAATTTCTGTCTTTCATTTATCACCAAAAAACAGCTAAGGTTAGTTTGACTTGGCTGCTAGTTAGATATGACTGCATAAACTTTTCCCTTTTAGGTTTCTATTATTGTGGAGTTTGTAAAAGTCTGCAAGCAACTGGACTAAATGATTACTAATATACATTCTATCTCTGAAATTATGTTTTCTCCTTACCATATTTAACAAGGTTCTGAACACAGGTATTTTTTGGTTGATTGGGTGATTTCTCTCCTTACCCATAGTTGCATTTGGAACTTATGTAACAATTTAGTCGGCTAACTCATTTACTTATTCTTTCATGCGTTCATTTAGAAAACATTTGCTGATTGTGCAATGCATTCAAAGTAAAGATTATTTGAAGGACGAGAGGGCACTGGACTTGAAGCCAGTAGAAAGGTTGCACCCAGCTTAGACAGTTATTTTCTGTGAACTTCAAGCAATTCTGTTAACCTCTCCACTTTGTTGCCTCATACCTAAAAATAATTACAATGATTACAAATACTGAGGACTATTAAGGGCTTACAGTGAACTAGACATTTTTTTATGAGTTTTTCACGTACTTTATTAACTGATTTAATTCTATGTGGTAGATACCACTAGAATCTCCATTTTACAATGTGGAAACTAAGGCTCAAAGAAGTTAAGAAATATGCCAAACGTTATTTAACTAAGTGACAGTGATAGGATATGAACGGTGAAAATAAATGAAGGCCACCCAAATGAGAACAAGCAAACCCTATTTATTCAGAGCTTAATGTAGCAAGGGTTCACCCATCATCACTTGCAGTTATCAAAGACGCAAAGACAGGCAAGGGAGTTGGAAAGCTTTATAGGCGAAAAAACAGAAAGTCTCAGGCTCTGATTGGAAGATGTTGACGTGGCCATTTTACATTGGCATATTCAGTCTCTTAGAACGGAGAGATTTTTACTTCAAAACTCACTTTCTAAACCATAGACTACTTTTCAGTTTAAAAAACCTCTACATGTTTATGCAATTTATAAATCCCCAAATGTGGCAATAATGAAATTAGTGTAATTATCTACAACACTGTACCAAAGGCTTATAAAAAGAGAAGTGGAATCTTTCCTCAATGTGCATATATTTTAGCTTAGGAGAGGAAACACGCAGAGTTGTAAGATGCAGTTTGAAGAAAAAGAGGACAAGGGTGGACTTTGGAATTTGTTCAAAGGATGCTGATATCTCAAACCATAAAAACTTAAAAGAAGAAAGGACTCCAGAAGGGAATCTCAAAGTCAAATGGCTCCAGAGACCAAGCAAGAAGCAGTGATGAATGAAACAAGCAGGAGGGTGAATAACACAATCGGAAGTGGTAAAGTTCACAACATCTACCTACAACCTGCTTGTTATCTTCAACTTCAGCCATGCAGGTCCCCTCGACCATGTGCAGCAAGAGATTTAGATTTTTATATGAATGTGTTTGATTTTGAAACGCTAACAAGTAGTCCATTTTATAAACACAAAAAAAGCACATCAAAACCAACCAAATTAATTTTATAAACTTGATAAAAAACAAAAAAAAACCCATGTCTTGTGGGGTTCATAGGGACCTCTAAGTGCCATAACAAACTGGTACCTGGAGAAGCACTCCAGAATGCCCACAGGGACTCATAGGGAGCACTTCCGATACAGTTGCTGGGCTAAGCAGGTTATCCAAGCTTTTCTCTCTCCCAAGTATCCAATTTCCTCTTCATCACAAGAACTTTAACAGGACCAGGAGATGGGAATCAGCATATGTTCTTTCACATAAACCTCACAGCAACCCAGCAAGTTAGGTATTATTATGCCTTCAGGCATTCATGAAACTAGAGAAAAAATGTAAAACAACTGTGCAAGAGAATACAAAAATAACTACATACCGGTGTACAAGGAAATACTCAGAGAAGAAATAATCAGTATATAATGAGGTTAATCACTTCTCCACAATGGTGAGCTTAGAGGAAAGCCTTTGAAGAAAGTGACTGGAATTGGTAAAATTAGGGCTTGCCTCAGGTTACAAATCTGAAGAAGAATAAAGCATTTTGACAACTAGAATTAATCTGAATATATGTTAATATCAAGTATTTTAATTCTTAGCAAAATACTTTGTTATGCAGACTCTTCCCAAAATATTTATGTATTTTGAATAAACTTGTTTCTTACCCAAGAGGGTGATAAATGCTCATTTTAGAGAACTGTGCACCTTGAATAGTTAACTTTCTGATTTGGATGTGAGGTGCATTGGATTATTTTTGTTTCATCACTGTCTCCACAGACAGGCAGGGGCTTTTCATGAAGATAAGACAGAAATCTACTTTTCTTAAACAATTGAAGTGACCAGACCTTTTTCTTTCAGAAAATAGACACCATTTATTTTTATTTGCTCCTTTAAATCTGAGTTTCCATGCAGGTGAGTTACAACTTAATCCTCCCCATCTCATAAACCAGAAATGTGTATGATACAGATTGAGCATTATTGTCTCTGAGAAAATGAACCCGAGAGAGATCAGCATACAATGTGTCAATTCCCCAGGCATTCAGCAGAAAATGAATATGTATTGACCAATGACTGGAATAATAGCCTTGTTGACAATGTCAGTGGAGGTGTTCAATATCCAAGCAGGGGTGAGGTGGGGGGGATGGGTGGAGAAACACAGGAGGGAAACAAAGAGCAGTGTCTCTCCACTTTCTTCACTTTCCACCGGTTCTTTCAACACATAGAGAGGCATTTTCTAGAAGACTCTTGTATTATTTTGAAAAGTAGACCTTTGTAGTTCTGTTTTTCTGAAAAGTTCAGGGCACAGTTCAAAGAACTTAAAATATGAATATTTTAACAATGCAGAAGTGGGGACAAAGCAAAGGAAGTTAGAGAGAAACTACAAATTGCTAGATGAATGGGGTGGAAGAAAAGCCCTTTTTTTTTGCTAACCAATTCTAAACAAAAAGCCTTGAAAAGTTATCCTTGTTCATGAGATGATGTTGATTAGGTCTTAGGAAGTTAGGCCAATTTTTTGCAGATAATTGCTTTATGCAACAGTCTATTGTACCAAATTACCTTTTTCCTTCTTTGTTGATTGTTGATATTTAGATGAATTAATGAGACAAAATGGGCTCCTATTTAGGCTATATGTATAGGGTGATGTGAATTCCATGACACTGTACATTTCCATCTATCACAAATGTATTCATGGTATGAGAAGAACCTTATCTATGAACCCTACACATAAAAAGATAGTACAGTCCTAGGTATAAGCTTTTGGTGAAGAATTAAAATTAGAGCAAATGCCCTATACATAGCACATGAGATTAATACAGAACTATGAGATTAATACAGAAAGTAAAATTGGAAGTCATCTATAATATCACAGCCAGACACCAGATGAATATAATCTCTGGGATACACTGTAGCAGATTTTTATGCAATGTATCGTGATTCTGGTTTTTTACCGCACACACACACCTCTGCACACTTACATACATAAAACCTCAGTTAAAAGAAAAGTTGGTTGTGTGGCACTGGAAATGCTGGTCTGCCATTTCAGATAGCATTCATAAAGAAGTGAGATAGATAAAAATAAAATAAAATTGAGTGTCTGACTAAATTCATCACATTGGAAACAATGATTTTTGAAAAGAGAGAATGGTAAAATAGTTGATAGCCATATATAATGATTAGAATTCCATTTGTACAATTTGGCAATAACAGACATTGAGTTTTTAAAGGCAGCCATCCTTTAGCTAAAGATGATTGAGTGAAATGTGTATCTTGTCAATTGTGGAATAAATCTGAATGAAGCAAAGTACATGTGTGTAGGGTGAGGGCCGGGCTCTGCAGGGGGTAGGTAATCTGCAGACTTTCTTTATATTTCTTTTCTCGTCTACCTTTAAGGATATACAATCTGTGAGGTTGTTACCAGCTAAATACATTTATGAAGTTACTACAATGACTTAGGAGAGAGGTGAGCCAGATAAACAAGACTCTCTTGTCAAGAGAGATTATTGAAAAGAGTTATTTTGAGCCACATAGCAAGAGGCACAGCAAAAGAGCCAACTATTGAATCACAATGTGTCTGCGGCATGGAAGGAGGAATAAATTCATCTTAAAAAATTATCCAGGTAAAGGAAGAGGAGGGAAAATAAAAGGTGAGTTGGAATGACACAACGACATAGTCTATTCTCCACCAGGGAGTGAGCAGTTGACATTGCCAAAAGCCGCATTGTGTCCAGACACACTCTGCTATTACTTTTCTGCTATCAATGCCAACATTGCAATTCCACACACTTTATGCTGCATCCTGATTTGCCCTGCGGGGTGTAAACTGCTGATATCTAGTCTTATTGAGACCGTGAAAAACAAAACAATTGCATTTGCTACCTGGGAGATGAAAGGCAAAGCATACTAGCTCTGTTACCTTCTGAAGCTCTTTTCTGCCACGTACCGATGTAGCTGGAAGTAATTGAACTGGAATCACAATGTAAAATAAACCTCCTGCAATCTTTAATACCAATAGGTCTTTATCAAAGGAAATAAAAACAAGAATGTGGTAAACAGAACATCAGGGAAATTTGCTTTACCCATTAGGTCTGGAACCACTGAGGAGAAATGAACAGTCTTCCATCCAGAATTGGGACAGCATTGGAGAAAATAAATAGTGAATAGAAATCGAGGCTGCTTTCTTTCCTGGCTATTTCGTTTTTACCCTCTGTGGAAATCATCTGGCACATTTTCATCACTTTCTTTTATTGAGTTTTATAAAATAAATGATTTGAGAGCAGCAATCAATTACAGTCCACCAATGAGTATAATTCAGAGAAACAGAATTCCTGTTTGCTGGAGGTAATAGCAGCTAAATGCTGTTTTTGTATTTATACACTCATAATGTATTTCCCTGGAAGTGCCAGAGAGTTGTGGTGGTGCTGTTTTTCTTTTTATTGACTCCCATGGCTATACAGAGACATTACAGAACTCAAGTTCCAAGTGCCACAAGGCAACAAAGTGTCTTAGGCTAATGTGGACAGTCTGTTTTAAGGAGAAAACATACTCCCAGCAGCCAATAAAACACAGGCAATGTCGCACCTATACATTGCAGCACAGAAAAATTGTCTCATAAGCATCACACTGCACAAATTGATATAGGTTGGCTTGTTTCTAGGAATAAGATGGGTGAAGTTCATCCACATAACTCTGCTCATATCTCAATCTTCCTTATTTTCTTTTATCATCATCGTAGCCCCCTTCTCTTCCTTCCGGTCTTCCATTTTTTCCAGCCGTTTGTTTCTTTTTTTTTCTATATTTATTTCCTGACTTTATATTCAGCTCTTCTGTTCCTGTCATTTTTTGCCTTAAGTATCTATTGTGCAGATATTGTGTACTAACTACAGAGTATACAATAAAACATTACACGTTTTCTCCCCATTTGAATAACTGATGGACCAACTCTAATGCAGTACAATAAAGAGGCTTGTACAAAATGCTAAGTGAACAGTGTGGAGGAAATAATCCATTATGCTTGTGGTGATCAGGAAGATCCTGGTGAGGCACCATGAAGGGAGGAAATTTTGTATATGTTGGCTCTGTGTATTTTATAATCCAATAAGTATACTCGGACTAGTTTGATCACTTACTTTCACTTTTTTACCCATCCCTCTGACATATTTGTGTATTTTTATTTGTGTATTATCTTTCTTTGCCAGAACATCAGTTTCAGAAAGGCAGAGACCTCATCTCCTTTGATTGCTAATATGTCACTAGCACTAGTTTGTGAATTCTGGGGTAGGGGAAAGAAAAATGGCCTGAGTGAAAAAGGAACAGCTCTATTTTCATTTTCTATTGCTAATGTAACAAATTACCAAAACATAGTAAGTTAACACAACACAAAGTTATTATCTTACAGTTCTGGAGGTCAGAAGTCTGAACTGGGTCTCAAGGGGGCTAAAGTCACGATGGCAGCACCAGCTGTTTTCCTGTTTGGCGTCTGTAGGGGAGAATCAATTTCCTTGCCTCTTCTAGCACCTAGAGGCTGCCTGTATTCCTTCCCACATAGCTCCCTTCCATCTTCAAAGCCAGCAATTGCATCACTCTGACCCCATCATTACATCTCCTTCTCTGCCCCTCCTGCTTCATTCTTTTACTTACGAGGAGACAATGACCTCACTGGGCTCATCTGGATAATCCAGAATAATCTCCCCTTCTCAATATTCTTAATTTAATCACATCTTCATAGTCTTTTTTTCCATGAAAGATAATATATTCACAGGTTTCAGAGATTGGGAAGTAGACATCTCTAGGGGTGAGATATTATTTTCCCTACCACAATGCCACCATATATATGTACATGTAGTATATATATATGTGGTGTGTGTGTGTATATATATATGTGTGTGTGTGTGTGTGTATATATGAGTGTGTATATATATATATGAGTGTGTGTATATATATATATATATATACTCATTCACCATTTTAAATTAGTGCCTATGCAACAAGCAATCTAAGAAATAGAACAAAATTCTATCATTTGCTACAGGCACATGAAGTATTATATGTATATGAATTAGCCAACAACTTCAAGACATCTCTGGGGGTGAGGTATTATCTTCCCTACCACAATGCCACATATATATATATATATATGGTATATATATATGTGGTATATATATGAGTATATATATATGGTGTATATATATGTGGTATATATATGAGTGTATGTATATGGTATATATATATGAGTATACACACCATATATATATATATGCTGGAGGTTATATATATACATATATATATTGCTGAAGGTAATAGCAGCTAAATGCTGTTTTTGTATTTATACACTCATAATGTATTTCCCTGGAAGTGCCAGAGAGTTGTGGTAGTGGTATTTTTCTTTTTATTGACTCCCATGGCTATACAGAAACATTACAGAACTCAAGTTCCAAGTGCCACAAGGCAACAAAGTGTCTTAGGCTAATGGGGACAGTCTGTTTTAAGGAGAAAACATACCCCCAGCAGCCAATAAAACACAGGCAATGTTGCACCTATACATTGCAGCACAGAAAAATTGTCTCTGTGCATATATATACACTGTGTATATATATATATATATATATATATATCTGAGTATATATATATACTCATTCACCATTTTAAATTAGTGCCTTTGCAACAAGCAGTCTAAGAAATAGAACAAAATTCTACCCTTTGCTACAGGCACATGGAGTATTATATGTATATGAATTAGCCAACAACTTCAAGAACAAATGTATTCCCCAAACTGAGAAAAATCTGGAAAGACACGATGATTCATTAACTTCTTATTGACTCTTGTGGCCTCATGGTCTCAATATTAGAATATTGAAAGAAGCACTAAGTATGGTGTCAAGAAGTTTCTGTTTTAGCTCCTTTTCATTAATCCGACATTTGGGAAATAGGCTGAAATCTCTCAGCCTCAAGTTCTCAACTATAAAATGAAGAAAATAGTACTTGTTCCATACTGCATATATACATTTTTGTTCATGGGGTCCTTCGTTCCTTTATTCAATGAAGATATGTGTGTCAGATGCTTTGAAAGCACTGAGATGAGTAAAACATCTGAAAAAGTGTGACTGGCAGGTTCACCGAAAGCCTCATGAAAGAATGACCTTGAACTGGATCTTAGGGAGTAATGGGAGACTCAAAGCGCAAGGAGGCTGAAAGGACAGTGGCTATTTTAAGGATCCAAAAAAAATTATGTAGATGCTAGTGCCTTTCACACTAAAAGCACTTTTTGGATATACATTATTTTCTTTTTATGAAAGGAATAACATTTTAATCAAAAATTTTGAGAATACTAAAAGAAGCAAGACAGGAAAAATCAGAGGAAATCTGAACACTTTGAGATGTCTGTTAATGATGCTACATATGGATCTGATTCCCTGATTCCTAAATCTATTTTACAACCTATGGATCATACCTGCATAACTTTCTTTAAATAATTTAGAGTTAGCTTACTCCCTTTAAGTATTGGTTAAGAACACAGTTTTAACAATGACATAATAATCTGTCATATGGATATGCAATTAAATTTACCATTCTGCTATTTTTGACCTTAGTTTGTTCAACTTCTCCTGCTGTTATTTTACAAAAATTGGCCGGGTGCCATGGCTCACACCTGTAATCCCAGCACTTCGAGAGGCCAAGGCGGGTGGATCATGAGGTCAGGAGATAGAGACCATCCTGGCTAACACGGTGAAACTCGTCTCTACTAAAAATACAAAAAATTAGCCAGGCATGGTGGCGGGCGCCTGTAGTCCCAGCTACAGGGGAGGCTGAGGCAGGATAATGGCATGAACCCGGGAGGCAGAGCTTACAGTGAGCAGAGATTGCACCACTGCCCTCCAGCCTGGGCAACAGAGTGAGACTCTGTCTCAAAAAAAAAAAAAAAAAAATTACATTTAATACTCCTGAACAGAGATCTTTACCCATATGTGGTTATAATCATAATAAAGTACTTAATAATATCAAAACAAATGAACATTTAAAAATTGCTTTTTCATATGGTTATGCAGTACAGTTCAAGGAAATGACCCCTTTGCCTTACTTTCTTGTCATTTATTGTTATTTTAAAAGCTTTTCTCTTTTGAAAGTTACAAAATGTTATCTCATTAATAGAATTTACATTTCTTATATTGACACTGAGGTTGAGGTTTCTTCATACGCTTATTACTAACTTTTAATTCTTCTCTATACTAGCAATCATTGTATTTTGGAGAATAATCCAATTCTGGTCAAGACAGAGTCAATAAGAGCATTTTTTTTTTCCTTTTTTTCTTCCCCTTGTTAAATCCTAATCAGTCTTGCCTCACCTATTGTCCTTCCTCTGCTTTATCTTCAAATGGAAAATGGAAAAACGGAGAAGAGAAAAAGAAGAGAATGGGAAAGTTCCTGGAAAGAAGGAAGGGGAAGAAAATTAAAAAGTCAAAAGGAAATTGGGTTAAACAAATACTTTATTAGTCCATTTTCTTGCTGCTGATAAAGACATACCCAAGACTGGGCAATGTATGAAGAAAAAGAGGTTTAATAAACTCATAGTTCCACGTGGCTGGGGAGGCCTCATAATCATGGTGGAAGATGAAAGGCACATCTTACATTGAGGCAGACGAGAGAAATGAGAATCAAGTGAAAGGGGAAACCCTTTATAAAACCGTCAGGTCTCTTGAGACGTATTCACTACCAGGAGAACAGCATGGGGGAAACCGCCCCTATGACTCAATTTTCTCCCACTGGACCCTCCCAGAACACATGGGAATCATGGGAGCTACAATTCAAGATGAGACTTGGGTGGGAACACAGCCAAACCATATCCAACACAAAAGGCAGGTTTTCATGGATGAGTTTCCTACTATTCACCCTTTCCTCATCCCCTGTCCCACCACACACATACATAACTCTGCAGACGATACAACTGAAGCCTTGGTATTCCTGCTATACCTAAATCCGTTCATTACAATCATCTAAATTTTGAAAAGTTTTGAAAGATTTTCAGGAGAATCTTACATTAAAAATTATAAGGAATATGTAGCGAATTTTCTTTATTCTCTTGATAGTCATAGACCTATTACAAAATTTATTTGAAATGAATTAGTAATGAAACATCTCAGATTACGTCTGGTACACGCCAAATGGCTAAACAGAGATTGATTCAGCTCAGCACAAAAAATCCCTTCATTAATAGGTGTAGAAAGCCTACTATTTTTTAAAAATCATTTATATTGAAGGCTAACCCAGTTTATCATGTCTAACATGTTTATTATGAGAATGAGGAAACAACTAAGAGAGGAGCTATGATCTGTCCAAAATCACATATATGCCATCCCATTTTGGTGCATTTTTCCCAATGCCATGTTGACTCGACTTTAGATGAAGAGAAATTTGATGGAATCTCTACAAGTGTATTCATTTAATGACAGCAGTAAAACATTTAATTAATTTGTTTATTAAAAAAGTAACAGCAACTATGTGCTAGGTGCTGGTGACACAACAAAGAAATACACACACACACATATAATTTCTATTTACATACACGTTTCCCTAAGGAATATTGATGGAGTTAATATTACTTGCATGATTGACAGTCTAGTAAGGAGCTCTAATATTTTAGTCTGTAGGATATTCACAACACACACATCACTCTTATAAAGATATCTTATTTCGGTGACTAAAACTAAAATTAGAGTCTTCAATTAAATATACACAAAGACATAGAATTCTTAATAACTTAGTTTAGAAGTCTTTTTTAATTTTAAATTACACAGCTTCTTAGTAGAGGAGAAAAAATGTGTTATAATGCTTTAAAATTCAGAATATATCCAGTCTTTCCTATTGGGTGCCCTCTATGTCATCCTTTCAGCAAACATTCCCGGGTGAAGTTAAGGGGAGGGGGACTTTTGAATGTTTCAATTTCTGGGAAATGATTGAACGTCTTAGATGACTGAAGATAACTTAGCTAAAATGTACAGCTGTGTCTAACGCCAAACAGATTAATCCTCAAGGAATCCCTCGAGCCATCTACTTTCCTGTCATGTTATTTTGTTTAAACGTGAGACAGTCTTTGGATATTTCATGGTTGGGAAAATATCAATTACAGAAACACACGCAGGTTTTTATTGTATTTTTTCATTTATTGTAATATTCATTTACCTCTGTCTAAGCATTTTGGTGTATAAAATAAGAATGCTTAAAAAGGTAAAATCTTAGCACCCTATGGCATAAATTATAGAAATATCACAATCACAATGTATTTCTGTTAATACTAATAGGTTAAATTTATATATCAATCTAAAGTTTGCAATGTAATTTCACATTCTTATCTCAAGTGATTATCACAGGAACTCTAACTGGGGGACATTTGTCCTACTTTAGGAGGAATGGAATGTGGTGCAGGGAGACTCTGTTACTTGCCCAAGATTAAAAAGCTAACAAAGGACAAAGTTAGCTAAATGATTGTCTTGAAAATCTGCTTCAAGTGCACTTTCTGGATTCAGGGTCCAGAGTGCTCACCATTACACCATGGAACCTCATACAAATGCACTTTCCACTAAAACAAATATCTCTGTATTGGATCCATTTTAACAAAAATCTTTGACACCTAATTTAACAATCATTTACCCAAAGTATGATTTCTGTATTTTAGAAAAAGCCACAGAAAATAAAATAAAATAAGTACTATTTTTGTTTATTCATCCCTTTATGCATATGCATATATCCATGCCAAACTCAAATTATTGACTTCGCTCTTTCCAACTCACTCCCCTCAAAGAAACTGGAGAGTACATATTTTCGTTTTTCCCTTGAAGGGGTGACCACTTTGTTTTTATGCATTACATTATGAATCTTTCACTATATGATCAAGAAAATATACATCATATGGCTTCACCTCCCATAAAAGTGTCTAATTAAGATTAAACTTGTCCCTGTGGTAAATGTAAAAGATTTAATTATAATCAAAAAGATCTCAATTGAACAGCTTCTGTTTCAAGGAGTCACTCTCCCAGTGCTAAGAAGCTCATTAAATTCAATTTGCAGTAATGCACTGCTGTCATGTTTCCTTTCCGAACCACAGTATTATATTAAAGTTCTTTGATTATTTCCCTGTAGGGCAGCATTAATATGACACACCATGTAAAAGAAATGCTCAAAAGAGATTCAAAGATGCACTACCTTCTTTTTATTTTCTCAATAGATACTAATGTTTAACAACATGAAAAATATGTAATAAAGCGTATTTGCAGCACATCCAGTGAAGGTGGAAAAAAAATAAAAAACAATTTATATTTTTATTTGTCCTGGAAGTCTGAAAAGTCCGTACTTATGTGATGGCAAACGTGTGGGCATTTCCATGTCATGTAAATGATATATTTGGGGATGGGTTTCATATTTATCATAGGAATATGTTTTCATATATATATTTTATATATGTATACATATATACATGAAATATATATATATATAAAACATAAAGATTTTATTATTCTTTTCAAGAAAGTTTATTCTCCTGGAAATGTGAAATTAGTGTAACCAACATGAAAAATCCTTCAAGCTAAAATTATCCAGTATTACAAAGCCTGCATAATAGAGTCACCCTATTTAATGATTTGTTATTTAGATGAGTGAAACAGAAATTTAAAAAATCATTTTACTTTCCAATAAGAAAAATGTTTCTAGTTTATCTCTTCTGGAAAATGTGCTACATGGTTTGAATTTGTGAGGTAACTATTCTACAATTAGAAATAGTGAATTTCTTAAAGGATGTTAGACAAGATAACTGTATAATAGTCACATTTGAAATAATTAGTAAATATAATACACCCAAATATTTTAAAAAAATTTATTCCATTTCAATAGTCATACATAAAATTATTAAGTGATACCATATCTGTTTTACAAAACAGACGTTACTATTATTAAAAGGTTTCACAAAAGGGAGAATATTATGCATTTGGGAGTTTTGAAAGCTGTTGATGGTCACACAAGTATATATATATAATTTGTATTTTTACTGTTTATCAAGCAAGAGTATCAAAGAAAAATGTAGTATAATGTAAAATATGGTTGCTTTTATCCAACACCATAGCAACAGGGCACTCTAATTAGCTTCCAGAAGATCAATTAATTTGACTAAATAATCAGTCTAGAGATTTTATGAAAAAAGTCTCTCTTACCAAACTTTTAAACCTTTGCCTAACTTCTGATTTAAGTTTGCCACCTCTCTCCTTTGCTTCTTTCCCTGCTTTCATCTTTCCATTTTCTCTTTCCTTCTTTTATTCCTTTCTCATTAAAATTGCTACCATTTGCTTTTAATTATACAAATTACATAAAAAATATCCTTTCCATTAAGATTAGAACAAGTCAAGATTATGACAACATTGATGAGAGGTCACTAACAAGATGGCGTCCATGTTTCCCTGTCCTCATGAGCACAATTTTGTCTTGGCCAAGCTGATTTCTGCTCTTTTCTGATTACATGGTTTTCTTCAATTACCATACACAGTCTCACATCTTCAAACAATATCACCACCAAGACTACCCATCAACCTGCATCTCCATCTTTGAGCTACTTTCTAAATTTGCCTCTGCATCTGTAACTGCCTACTGAGCATTTCCACTTTGACGTCCTCCATATGGAAGTTGCTTAACATTGAATTCAATATCTTTGGACCCCACTCCTTCATCCCCCTGTGTGAAAAGGATTTAAAAGTCTGTATTTTAAAATGTCATAAGATTATGTGATTTGTGCCTTAGGAAATTACTGGCCACAGAATCAATATCAAAAGCTAGGATTCCATAGCCATAGTTTCAGAGAACATATTAGCTTTAAAATAAGAATAAAGTTAAGAAATACAGAAATTAGAAATATTAATAGAATAATAATATTTTTTAATAGGGGGCAATTTTATACCTCAGGGGGCATTAGGCAGTGTCTGGAGATATTTTTGGTTGTTGTATAAGGGGAAGGCGCTATTAGTACCTAGTGGGTAAGAGGCCAGGGATGATGCCAAATATCCTACAATGCCCAAGACAGGCCCTCACAAAAAAATGATGATCAGGTCCAAAATGTAATAACACAACAATTGTAAAACCCTCATCTAACTTTTATGGCAAAGTCTAAATTCAAAGAAATGGTCAAGTAGCCGTGAAATTTTTCCATCTACATAAAAAAGAAAATGTAACTTGTGTTCAGAACTTACATTGGCAAAACCACGTCTCTACAAAAATATAAAAAATATAAAAAATTAGCTGAATGTGGTAATGGGTGCCTGTAGTTCCAGCTACTCAGGAGGTGGAGTGGGGAGGATCACTTGAGCCCTGGAGGTTGATGGCAGCACTGAACTCCAGCCTAGGTGACAGAGTGAGACCCTATCTCAAAAGAGAGAGACAGAGAGAGCTTTACAGCCTTACACACTTGGAGAATGATTGAGATAATCACAGTATTTAGTTAATTAGGAGAAAAAATATTGTATTTAAGGCAAACTCCAATTTAACAGAAAAGCAAGGCAAAAGCAAGTCCTACTAGTCATGGTGACTTAGAATATTTGTTTCATTCAAGCCTGGAGATGAGCTGAGACTAAATTACGCAGTAGTTGATAACAGTTAATAATCGGCATATAAGATGCCTAATTGTCCTGTAATGTTGATATTTTTTCCTCTATGTTTGCTATATCAATGTTAACATTGTGTGTTTTAGTAATTAATCTTACCATTTTAATAAAAAGATTAAGTCATTAAAAGAATAATTGCATAGAAAATGTATTTGATATTTAAATGCTCAGTTATGGTTACCCTCCATATTCACTAGTTTTGCATTCTCAGATTCAACCAATCATGCGCTGAAAATATTAGATGGTGGGGAGAGTGGAGGACAGCAAAATGTAACAATACAACTACAAAAAATAATACAAATAAAAAATACAGTATAACAAATATTTACAGAGCATTTACATTGTATTAGGTATTATAAGTAATATGCAGATGATTTAAAGTCTATGAATGAATATGCACAGGTTATATGCAAATACTACATCATTTTATATAAGGGACTTGAGCATCCCTTCATTTTCATATCAGAGAAGGCTGGGTTTCCTGGAACCAATCACCTGTGGATTCTGAGGGACTATTGTATTTATATTTTTATATTTGAGGTGTTCAATGAGAGACCTGCAAAACAAAAATTTACAAAGAAATGGAGAAAGACATTCTTCCTCCAGCTCACAACCTTTCACTCACTTTTGACTTCTTGGTTCCTTTAGTCATTTAAATAATCACATCAAAATGGTCTCCCTGAAATCTCATCTCCAACCATGGTAGGTTTTAGTCCAATACATTAGGTAACTCTGCATAGACTGTAGTGATTACAGAGTGTAGTGGTGAAGAGCAAGAAACCCGGGAAACTAACCCTGTTAGTTTTTGATGGAATAATCCTAGGCAATAATCTCTCCGGACCTCAGTTTCCTCAACTGAAAATTAGAGTTCACAATAATTTCTGTATCATGGGGTTATGATCAGGATTAATTAAAGTAACATACGTCAAGTGCTTAGGCTAGTGCCTGATATGATACATTGTAAGTGCTCAATAAATATTAGCTATTATTAACAATATCATTTATAATAATATTTTGTACACTTTCCTTCTGGAAACTGCACTATTTTAAGGGCTGAAATGTATCAATTCTTTCTGTAAATATTGAATTTAAATTTAATACAATTGAAGAGAAAACATCTTAAAAACTAAATAATTCCAAAAATTTGATATTAATATTAAATGTAAGAGGAATCCAGAACAATACTAATGTAAAAGTTAACTGTATATTTAGGAATAATTACAGGCCTTTACACACATACACACACACACAAACACATTATGTGATTTAATCCTCATTACAATCCAATGTGGTAGTTTCCACAGTAATCCCATTCTACTGATGAGAAAGCCAAGATAAAGTAACTTGCTCAAGGTCTCAAATTAACTATTCAGTTGATCTTCAGTTTCAAACTCAGATTTTGTTTTTATTTTAGTTTTTTTATTATTATACTTTAAGTTCTAGGATACATGTGCACAACGTGGAGGTTTGTTACGTATGTATATATGTGCCTCTTTGGTTTGCTGCACCCATTAACTCGTCATTCACATTAGGTATTTCTCCCAACGCTATCCCTCCCCCATCCCCTCAAGCCACGACAGGGCCGGGTGTGTGATGTTCCCCGCCCTGTGTCCAAGTGTTCTCATGGTTCAATTTCCACTTATGAGTGAGAACATGCAGTGTTTGGTTTTCTGTCCTTGCCATAGTTTGCTGAGAATGATGGTTTCCAGCTTCATCCACGTGGCTGCAAAGGACATGAACTCATTCTTTTTTATGCCTGCATAGTATTCCGTGGTGTATATGTGCCACATTTTCTTAATCCAGTCTATCATTGATGGACATATGGGTTGGTTCCAAGTCTTTGCTATTGTGAATAGTGCCACAACAAACATATGTGTGCATGTGTCTTTATAGTAGCATGATTTATAATCCTTTGGGTATATACCACGTAATGGGATCACTGGACAAATGGTGTTTCTAGTTCCAGATCTTTGATGAATTGCCACATTGTCTTCCACAATGGATGAACTAGTTTACACTCCCACCAACAGTGTAAAAGTGTTCCTATTTCTCCACATCCTCTCCAGCACCTGTTGTTTCCTGACTTTTTAATGATCACCATTCTAACTGGTGTGAGATGGTATCTCATTGTGGTTTTGATGTGCATTTCTCTGATGACCAGTGATGATGAGCATTTTTTCCTGTGTCTGTTGGCTGCATAAATGTCTTATTTTGAGAAGTGTATGTTCATATCCTTTGCCCACATTTCCATGGGGTTATTTGATTTTTTTTTCTTGTAAATTTGTTCCAGTTCTTTGTAGATTCTGGATATTAGCCCTTTGTCAGATGGGTAGATTGCAAAAATTTTCTCCCATTCTGTAGGTTGCCTGTTCACTCTGATGGTGGTTTCTTTTGCTGTGCCAAAGCTCTTCAGTTTAATTAGATCCCATTTGTCTATTTTGGCTTTTCTTGACATTGCTTTTGGTGTTATAGTCATGAAGTCCTTGCCCATGCCTATGTCCTGAATGGTATTGCCTAGGTTTTCTTCTAGGGTTTTTATGGTTTTAGGGCTAACATTTAAGTCTTTAATCCATCTTGAATTAATTTTTGTATAAGTTGCAAGGAAGGGATCCAGTTTCAGCTTTCTACATATGGCCAGCCAGTTTTCCCAGCATGATTTATTAAATAGGGAATCCTTTCCCCATTGCTTGTTTTTGTCAGGTTTGTCAAAGATCAGATGGTTGTAGATGTGTGGTGTTATTTCTGAGGCCTCTGTTCTGTTCCATTGCTCTATATCTCTGTTTTCGTACCAGTACCATGCTGTTTTGGTTACTGTAGGCTTGCAGTATAGTTTGAAGTCAGGTAGCCTGATGCCTCCAGCTTTGTTCTTTTGGCTTAGGATTGTCTTGTCAATGCAGGCTCTTTTTTGATTCCATATGAACTTTAAGGTAGTTTTTCTAATTCTGTGAAGAAAGTCATTGGTAGCTTGATGGGGATGGCATTGAATCTCTAAATTACCTTGGGCAGTATGGCCATTTTCACGATATTGATTCTTCCTATCCACGAGCATGGAATGTTCTTCCATTTGTTTGTAACCTCTCTTTTATTTCATTGAACAGTGGTTTGTAGTTCTCCTTGAAGAGGTCCTTCACTTCCCTTGTAAGTTGGATTCCTAGGTATTTTATTCTCTTTGTAGCAATTGTGAATGGGAGTTCACTCATGATTTGGCCCTCTGTTTGTCTGTTATAAGCATATAAGTATACTTGTGATTTTTGCACATTGATTTTGTATCCTGAGACTTTGTTGAAGTTGCTTATCATCTTAAGGAGATTTTGGGCTGAGACGATGGGGTTTCTAAATATACAATCATGTCATCTGCAAACAGGGACAATTTGACTTCCTCTTTTCCTAATTGAATATCCTTTATTTCTTTTTCTTGCCTGAGTGCCCTGGCCAGAACTTCCAACCCTATGTTGAATAGGAGTGGTGAGGGAGGGCATCCCTGTCTTGCACCAGTTTTCAAAGGGAATGCTTCCAGTTTTTGCCCATTCAGTATGATACTGGCTGTGGTTTGTCATAAATAGCTCTTATTATTTTGAGATACGTTCCATCAATACCTAGTTTATTGACAGTCTTTAGCATGAAGGGCTGTTGAATTTTGTTGAAGGCCTTTTCTGCACCTATTGAGATAATCATGTGGTTTTTGTCTTTGGTTTTGTTTATGTGATGGATTACATTTATTGATTTGCTTATGCTGAACCAGCCTTGCATCTCAGGGATGAAGCCAACTTGACCTTGGTGGATAAGCTTTTTGATGTGCTGCTGGATTTGGTTTGCCAGTATTTTATTGAGGATTTTTGCATCGATGTTCATCAGGGATATTGGTCTAAAATTCTCTTTTTTTGTTGTGTCTCTGCCCAGCTTTGGTATCAGGATGATGCTGGCCTCATAAAATGAGTTAGGGAGGATTCCCTCTTTTTCTATTGACTGGAATAGTTTCAGAAGGAATGGCACAAGCTTCTCTTTGTACCTCTGGTATAATTCGGCTGTGAATCCATCTGGTCCTGGACTTTTTTTTGGTTGGTAACCTATTAATTATTGCCTCAATTTCAGAGCCTGTTATTGGTCTATTCAGCAATTCAACTTCTTCCTGTTTTAGTCTTGGGAGGGTGTATGTGTCCAAGAATTCATCCATTTCTTCTAGATTTTCTAGTTTGTTTGCACAGAAGTATTTATAGTATTCTCTGATGGTAGTTTGCATTTCTGTGGGATCGGTGGTGACATCCCCTTTATCATTTTTTATTGCATCTGTTGATTCTTCTCACTTTTCTTCTTTATTAGTCTTGCTAGAGGTCTATCAATTTTGTTGATCTTTTCAAAAAATCAACTCCTGGATTCACTGATTTTTTGAAGGGTTTTTTTTATGTCTCTATCTCCTTCAGTTCTGCTCTAATCTTAGTTATTTCTTGCCTTCTGCTAGCTTTTGAATGTGTTTGCTCTTGCTTCTCTAGTTCTTTTAATTGTGATGTTAGGGCATCAATTTTAGATCTTTCCTGCTTTCTTTTGTGGGCATTTAGTGCTATAAATTTCCCTCTACACACTGCTTTAAATGTGTCCCAGAGATTCTGGTATGTTGTGTCTTTGTTCTCATTGGTTTCAAAGAACATCTTTATTTCTGCCTTCATTTTGTTAGGTACCCAGTAGTCATTCAGGAGCAGGTTGTTCAGTTTCCATGTAGTTGTGTGGTTTTGAGTGAGTTTCTTAATCCTGAGTTCTAATTTGATTGCCCTGTGGTCTGAGAGACAGTTTGTTGTAATTTCTGTTCTTTTACATTTGCTGATGAGTGCTTTACTTCCAACTATGTGGTCAATTTTGGAACAAGTGCAATGTGGTGCTGAGAAGAATGTATATTCTGTTGGGGTGGAGAGTTCTGTAGATGTCTATTAGGTCTGCTTGGTGTAGAGCTGAGTTTTAGTCCTGGATATCCTTTTCAACCTTCTGTCTTGTTGATCTGTCTAATATTGACAGTGGGATGTTAAAATCTCCCATTATTATTGTGTGGGAGTCTAAGTCTCCTTGTAGCTCTCTCAGGACTTGCTTTATGAATCTGGGTGCTCCTGTATTATTGGATGCATATATATTCAGGATAGTTAGCTCTTCTTGTTGAATTGATCCCTTTACCATTATATAAGGGCCTTCTTTGTCTCTTTCAATCTTTAAAGTCTGTTTTATCAGAGACTAGGATTGCAACCTCTGCTTTTTTTTTGTTTTCCATTTGCTTGGTAGATTTTACTCTATCCCTTTATTTTGAGCCTATGTGTGTCTCTGCATGTGAAATGGGTCTCCTGAATACAGCACACTGATGGGTCTTGACTGTTTATCCAATTTGCCAGTCTGTGTCTTTTAATTGGGGCATTTAGCCCATTTACATTTCAGGTTAATATTGTTAAGTGTGAATTTGATCCCGTCATTATGATGTTAGCTGGTTATTTTGCCTGTTAGTTGATGCAGTTTCTTCCTAGCATCCATGGTCTTTACAATTTGGCATGTTTTTGCAGTGGCTGGTAGTAGTTGTTCTTTTCCATGTTTAGTGCTTCCTTCAGGAGCTCTTGTAAGGCAGGCCTGGTGGTGACAAAATCTCTCAGCATCTGCTTGTCTGTAAAGGATTTTATTTCTCCTTCACTTATGAAGCTTAGTTTGGCTGGATATGAAATTCTGGGTGGAAAATTCTTTTCTTTAAGAATGTTGAATATTGACCCCTACTCTCTTCTGGCTTGTAGGTTTTCTGCTGAGAGATCTGCTGTTAGTCTGATGGGCTTCCTTTTGTGGGAAACTCGACTTTTCTCTCTGGCTGCCCTTAATATTTTTTCCTTCATTTCAAACTTGGTGAATCTGACAATTATGTGTCTTGGGGTATCTTTGTGGTGTTCTCTGTATTTCCTGAATTTGAATGTTGGCTTGCCTTGCTAGGTTGGGGAAGTTCTCCTGGATAATATCCTGAAGAGTGTTTTCCAGCTTCGTTCCATTCTCCCTGTCACTTTCAGGTACACCAATCAAATGTAGCTTTGGTCGTTTCACATAGTCCCATATTTCTTGGAGGCTTTGTTCGTTTCTTTTTACTCTTTTTTCTCTAAACTTCTTTTCTCACTTCATTTCATTAATTTGATCTTCAGTCACTGATACCCTTTCTTCCACTTGATCAAATTGGCTAGTGAAGCTTGTGCATGCATCACGTACTTCCCATGCCATGGTTTTCAGCTCCATCAGGTCATTTAAGGTCTTCTCTACACTGTTTATTCTAGTTAGCTATTCGTCTAATCTTTTTTCAAGGTTTTTAGCTTCTTTGCGATGGGTTTGAACATCCTCCTTTAGCTCGGAGAAGTTTGTTATTACCGACTTTCTGAAGCCTACTTCTGTCAACTCGTCAAAGTCATTCTCCATCCTGCTTTGTTCCGTTGTTGGCGAGGAGCTCGGATCCTTTGGAGGAGATGGGACTCTCTGGTTTTTAGAATTTTCAGCTTTTCTTCTCTGGTTTCTCCCCATCTTTGTGGTTTTATCTACCTTTGGTCTTTGATGATGGTGACCTACAGATGGAGTTTTGGTGTGGATATCCTTTTTGTTGATGTTGATGCTATTCCTTTCTGTTTGTTAGTTTTCCTTCTAACAGTCAGGTCCCTCAGCTGCAGGTCTGTCGGAGTTTGCTGGAGGTCCACTCCAGCCCCTGTTTGCCTGGGTATCACCAGCAGAGGCTGCAGAACAGCAAATATTGCAGAACAGCAAATATTGCTGCCTAATATTTCCTCTGGAAGCTTAGTCTCAGAGGGGCACCCGGCTGTTTGAGGTGTCTGTTGGCCCCTACTGAGAGGTGTCTCCAAGTTAGGCTACCCACTTGAGGAGGCAGTCTGCCCATTCTCAGAGCTCAAACACTCTGCTGGGAGAACCACTGCTCTCTTCAGAGCTGTCAGACAGGGACATTTAAGTCTGTAGAAGTTTCTGCTGCCTTTTGTTCAGCTATACCCTGCCCCCAGAGGTGGAGTCTACAGAGGCAGGCAGGCCTCGTTGAGCTGAGGTGGGCTCCACCCAGTTCGAGCTTCCCAGCTGCTTTGTTTACCTATTCAAGCCTCAGCAATTGTGGATGCTCCTCCCCTAGTCAGGCTTGCTGCCTCGCAATATGATCTGAGACTAGCAGTGGGCAAGGCTCTGTGGGTGTGGGACCCGCTGAGCCAGGCGTGGGATAAAATCTCCTGGTGTGCCATTTGCTAAGACCACTGGAAAAGTGCAGTGTTTAGGTGGCAGTGTCCCGATTTTCCTGGTACAGACTGTCACAGCTTCCCTTGGCTAGGAAAGGGAAATCCCCCGACCCCTTTCGCTTCCCGGGTGAAGTGACGCCCTGCTCTGTTTTGGCTTGCCCTCCGTGGGCTGCACCCACTTTCTGACCAGTCCCAGTGAGATGAACCAGGTACCTCAGTTGGAGATGCAGAAATCACCCGTCTTCTGCATCAATCACACTGGGAGCTGCAGATGGGAGCTGTTCCTATTTGGTCATCTTGGAATGGACCGAACCTCAGATTTTACAACACCCAAGTCCATGACCTTATTTTGGTATACTCATACCCAAAACAGGAGCTATCTTATCTTCCCCAGTTATTGATCAAATTTTAGAACAGTAAAGTATTTAAAAATGTATAAATTGGTTATTAGAAATAATTCAGGTTATGGTAGAGAGACTGTTTTATAGAGGCAGCAGTCATCATTTATAATACATATGTAGAATTTTTGTAAACAGAAAATATAAGATTATATTTATGTGTTATGGATATAAAAGTGAATAGTTTGATAAACATTACTTTTGTACTAGTTTGCTTGATAGTAGATAGACATGACCTGAATAAAGAACCAGAGAAATCTGTGAATAGAAAAGAAACATAATTTGTAGATTCAGAGTTAGAAAAAAAAAAAAAAACTTTGTACCATAGATAGTAACGGAGGATGTTCTCCCCTTTGAGTAAAATGATGAAAGAAAGAACTGGGTTTAATGCTTTTTAATTTATAAGTTGGAAACATAAATGCATGTCCTAATGAGAAGCCTAAGATAGAATAACAAATTAATCACATCAGGAACTTGCCCTTTGCATTTCCTTTCTCCTGGGAACTTAAATGCTGAATTTTAATGTTGCATTAACATTTGCAATAAAAGCTAAAACCCTTAAACTAAAATGCAAACTTCCTTGCAGAGTAGTGTGGTAATTGTACAAAATAACCACATCTAATAACACAGGAGGGCTAAAGGCAAGGATACATTGTTGTCACTTGAAATTATAAAGGAATTTCTAAGGAGGATTGATGAAGTTACTGACTTAATTAAAGTTTTCTTGCAATATCATTGACAAATGCTCTGCATTTTTCTTGCTTTAAGTAATAGGTATCTTTTGAAAAGGAATGTATCTCAAACCAATATTTTCTCAGTTGCTAACATTATTTTCTTGAATATATTGTATTTTCATTTTGGTTCAAATAACATTTTGATTTTTTACTTAAAACGCTTTGATTTTCACTTAGTGGATTTCCCCCAGATCCCATAGCTAACACATCCCATAGCTAACCTATATGTAGGAAGCTTTAAAGAACTAAAAGTTAAACCTACATGCCACAAAATATTTTTGAAAAAGGTAAGTAATATGGTTTGACTGTGTCCTCACCCAAAATCTAATCTTGAATTGTAGTTCATGGGAACAGAAATATAATTTTCATAAAAAGCTATTTCTAGAAAAACTTACAAATAGACAATATTTACAAGAATGCTGACCCATGTAATTAATATATTAACATTAATATAAAAATTTACCAAGACAGTGTGAAAAATACAAATGTAATTATAGAGAAGGAAGAATAAGCATAGCAAGGGTAAGATACTGTCTCAGGACCACCTTAAAAAACCTTTACAAAGAGATTTTGGTTTGCACCAGAAACATACCAGACTAGAATAATATATATTGTAATTATTCAATATATTTGAGAACAAGATTAATAAACCAAAGAGCATTCATCCCAAAGTCATATTTATTTCAATAGATCGTTTGTTATTTCATATAAGTTCCTTTCTTTCTTTCTTTCTTTCTTTTTTTTTTAATTGAGATGGAGTCTCACTCTGTTGCCCAAGCTGGAGTGCAGTGGTGTGATCTTGGTTCACTGCAACCTCAGCCTCTTGGGTTCAAATGATTCTCCTGCCTCAGTCTCCGGAGTAGCTGGGACTGCAGGCACATGCCACAATGCCTGGCTAATTTTTTTTTTTTTTTTTTAGTAGAGATTAGATTTCGGCATGTTGGCTTGACTGCTCTTGAACTCACGAGCTCAGGTGGTCCACCCACCTTAGCCTCCCAAAGTGCTGGGATGATAGGCATGAGCCACTGTGCCCGGCCATTATTTCTTTTAAAGTTCTGATCTAATTTAATTCCTTCTGGTATTGTAGAGGGCAGACTAAGTTCCTAACTAGATGACTCTTAAGCAATATTTGAAGTTCTGCTATTTATTTGAAATTTGGACAGAACAAGTGAGCATGCCCTTTAGAAAATTTGTACCTAGAAATGTATTCCTAATACTTCTATCTGGGGATGCCAACAAATTCCTCTTACATATTCACTGGACAGTCTGTTATGTGGAAAACTCAGGAGATATGCAGACTAATATGTCAGGATTAGAAGCCCGCTTCTGCCAGTTGGTAGCTATATACATTTGAACAAGTGACACAAGAACTCTTAATTGTTTCTTCAACTTCAAAATGAAATTATGAATATTTACTTAAAAGGGTAGTCATGAGGATTGAAATATACGTGTAAATAATTCTTTACAGAGAAGTCAGGCTATAATAGAGTATTTTAAAATGACAATCTGAGTAAGACATTTAGAAATAAAAAGTAGTTTTCTTGTTTCTCCTTCTCGCTGATATAAATCTGTCTTTAATTATATCTGTATTTTCAAATCTCAAAGCTTTTTGTTTATCATGAAATATAGAATTACTGTAATTTATGTTTCACCCCAAACAAAGAGACTGTAGAAGACATTCTCCAAGATTGCTCTCAGTGATTTCTACCACCTAGTATGTATGCCCTCTTCAATTCCCATCGCTATAGAAGAGGGATCATCTGTGTAACCAATGGGATATTGTGGGAATTACAGAATATAACCTCATAGCTCATTCACAATACACATTGAAGCTTTCACCTTGCTCTCTCAGAATAATTGCTTTTACGGAAGCCAGATGCCCATTGTGATGACAGCCACGTAGCCCTTTGAAATGATCCATATGATGCAGAACTCAGGTGTCCAACAGCCAGCCCCACCTTGCCAGCCACACAAGTGAGCCTCATGGGAAGCCTCTGTGAAGCTACAGTCAAGCATCAAGATGACTGTACCCTGGCAACACCTTCATTTCAACAACATAGAGTCCTCAGCCAGAACCACCATGTCATTTCAAAATTTCTTACCATGATATTGTACAAGAAAGTAAACGTTTATTATTATTTTAAGCCTTTAACTTTTAGGGTGGCTTTTTAATGCAGCAATAAATATCTACTACAAATTTAACTGCACTTCCGATCACAATATTGCTACTATTTCTTAATTATCTCACAGCGTGCCTTGGACCAAAAGGACCATTCAACTGACTTCAGTCCCATTTGGCCAACCACAGATTATGAGCTAAGTAAATGCTTGTAAATCAATTGTTTGCAGTTGTTAGTTACAAAGAAAAAGCTATTTGATGTATATCCTCTGTATCGCTGTTCCATTGTATGAAACTTGTCCTGCTAATCCTCAAGTATTTGTAGAAGAGCAAATAATCAAGAATGACCAACTGTCCCCAAAAAGAACAAATGTGTAGTGTTGGGAGGCTGATATTGTTATGATTATTATAAAAAATAGTGAATAAGAAGGTGTGGCACCAGTAAGGGAATAAAACATCCACCTATGAAGTAGAATAGAGATGCCAAAACCTGACATATACATATAAGGACACTTGGTTTATTATGACTAACCTGGTATTTTTCTGGTGGCAAATGTTAGACTTTTCAATAGAAATTACAGGAAAAATTGATTATTTATATGGAAATAATGATATGCTGCCACTACCTTCCACTATACACAAAATTAATTCCAAGTGGATTAAAGACTGACATTTGAAAAGCAATACCTCAAACTGTTTAGAGGACACTATAAGAGAATACCTGCTGACTACGGGCAGGCAACTATGTATTACCAACACACTCATAGACATGCAGAGCACAAACGTAAAGGAGAAAATGAATAACTTCACCTGTAATAAAATCCAGATAATTTATTTATCAAAAATATCAAAATGTAGTGAAAAGAATGAGCTGAGACAAGATACATATGCTACTCTCAGACTATTTTCCAAAATAAAGAGACCTACAATTAAATACAAAGGAAACTAAGTAGAAAAGTGAGCAAAGATGTTAAATAGGTCCTTCACAAATAAGAAAACCCAAATAGAAACCTTAGAAAATAGTTTTCACTAGTAATCAGGAAATTCAAATTCATAAAGACAATAAAATGCCATTTCAATTCAGCAAATCCTCAAAGTATATAAAAAGCCAAATGAAAACAAATGTTGGCAAGTATATAGAGCAGCAACAATTGTCACAGTGGTAGGGAGTGAAAAATAGTACCACTGTATTGGAAAGGCATTTGGTATTATCTAGAAATATTGAATGTGTACCTACCTACGTATGATGTAGAACTTGTATTCCTAAGTCCATATCCTAGAAAATCCTTGTGCATGCTCACTGGGTATCACTGACAAGAATGTTCATAAGTGAAATTTGTAGTAGCAAGAACTGGACATGCCACATATCCTTCAGGAGTAGAACAGAATATGGCAAGGAAAAATGAATTGCAGAACAATACATATATTTCAGGAAACTTCTATCGAATTAAAAAGAACAAGGTCTAGGGCTGGGCGTGGTAGCTCATGCCTATAATCCCAGCACTTTGGGAGGCTGAGGCCGGCGGATCGCGTGAGGTCAGGAGTTCAAGATCAGCCTAGCCAAAGTGGTGAAACCCTATCTCTAGTAAAAATATAAAAATTAGCCCATCATGGTGGTGGGTACCTGTAGTCTCCACTACTCAGGAGGCTGAGGTAGGAGAATTACTTGAACATGGGACAATTACATGAACAGAAGTTGCACTGAGCCGAGATTGCACCACTGCACTCCAGCCTGGGTGACAGAGCACGACTGTGTCTCAAAACAAAAACAAACAAAAAAAAAACAAAACCCAGGGCCTAGAAAAAATCATAATATATGATTCTATTTATATAAATTGTAAAAACATGCAAGAAATTCAAATGCCACTCAAATATATGCAGTAATACCTTAAAAAGTAAATGATTAACAAAATTTAGAATAACAATTTTCTACATTGGAGAAAGATAGGCATGGGTCCATGTGCAAGGTCCTTAGGGAGCTGGGTGGTAGATACATGAGTTTTTGTAGTCTTGGTATTCTTCATAGTTTACACATGTTATAAATATTCTTTTATATCTACTTGGTGTTAAAAAATAATAAATATTTTTTAAAAATCTTATCAGTTTCATATTGAGATTGGTAATAAATCAGTTTTTCATGCTGGTAATTCTTATTGCAGCTTCCATAAAAACAACAACAACAACAATAACAAAATAACCAAAAACAATTGCTTCACTTTTGGGCCTCTGGGCAGGAGGTCATAGCAAATATTTGCTATGTGCTGAAGGGAAGTTGGAGGTATGTCAAGAACAGTACTTACGACATTGCTCCCACTCTCACAGAGATACTAAAGTCAGCATATAAAGAAAAGCAGTAATATGCTGTACCTAAGAAGTCATAGATTCCTGAAAATCTCAATACCTCATTTTATAACTGCCTTAAAACCATACTGAAAAATCATCACTCCTCTGCTCACATCTTTCTGCAAATTTGTCAAACCCATTACCCTTATTATTCTAAAGGGAATGACCCCTCTATGGACCTAGAAAGCCAAAAGGAGAGTGACAGATGCTGGTGGGGAGCTGCATTTTACAGGGTTTCAGGGAGGTGACCATTAGAATAAGAATGAGGATTCTGAAGCTTGGCTGTGTCTGCCAACAGTGAAGTAGGGAATCGGAGCTGCCACACTTGAAGGTTGCTGCCAATCATACTGAGAAAGGAAACATCATGTTGCCCTTTTTCTGCAGGACTAAGCCTTTTAGCAGTTTTGTTCTCACCCTGGAAGATTCCAACTCATTCACAGCCTCTGTATTTTGATTATAGGCATCACGAGGTTCTCTTTTGTCCTCCATGGGCTTACAACCTTTATAAATTCCTTGGCATTCTCAGGCATGGGATATTTGGTGAGGGCAAATTCCGTTTATTTGTCTTTCTGAATGGTTTACTAATCATAAATGAACAGGACCTTGCATTTTCAGTGTGCTTCGGGATTTTTAAGTTTTTTCAAATGTATGTGTATTTTTTTTTTTTTTCAAGAAAATGAAGGCTCTAAGATGTTAACAATTTTGGAGATTTTTACACCAAATAATAATCAGAACTGGAAGTCAGTCCAAAGTCTTTTGAGTCTTTTGAAATCCCAGAGCTTCAAGCCTTTTTACATTCTACCCCAAAGACTCTTTAAAATATAAGCTTGATGAAGAGGTTTGAAGAGTGCAGAAATTACACTTTCTTTTTGGTACTAATGTTCTTAGTTATCCATAAACTACTCTTCCTGTTTTAGAGGGTTGAAAATAACATGGGGTTCTTTTTTTGGGGGGGTACAGATTAGGTACCAGTCACTGCGCTATAGATTTTCCTGTAGTGCCTGTAGGTACCAGTCACTGCGCTGTAAAACCTGTACACAGGTTTACCCCGTGTAGTCTTCTCAGCCACCTGACCAGATGATTATTATTATACTATTATTGACAGTTTTATAGATGAGGCTCCGATCAGGCACAAACAGCTAAATAGCAGGGGGAATATTAAATCAAACTCTATCTAAATCCATCAGCTAATCCAAATCCTATGAAAACCCCTGGCTTCCAAGTTACATAAAGTATGAAGATATGTTCTATATTTCTGAAAATGCAAAGATGGCTTAAATATCTGGTAGTATATACCACAATTACTCTGTTTGCTATAACTGATATGGAACAGATATTAAGATTTAAAAATCTAGAGACACGTGTGCATGTGTGTGTATGTCTTAAATGTACAAAAACCAGCAATGAATGTTCAGATTAGATAAAAGAGGATCTGTATACATATCCACAACTTTACAATTGCCTTTATCCTTTAGATTCCATCAAACGCATGGTGGATGCCTATGTAATCATTTCTGAAGAATTTCAAATAAATTGGTATGCCTGCATAACACAGGGCAGTGGCCGTCAGTCATGAGTGATTTTGTTCACCAGGGAGGATCATCTGACAATGTCTGAAGACATTTGTTACAAATGAGGGGTGTCGGTGCTACAGGCATCTTGTGTGTAGAAGCCAGGGATACAGCTAAACATTTTACAATGCATAGGACAGCCTTCCAAAACAAAAATTATCCATCCCCAAATGAAAATAATGCTGAGATTGAGAAACCCTGGGGTGCGAGAAAGCAAGAGATGGAAGCAATGTGCCAGGATTTAACTTTAATAATAGAATTGCAAACTTTTAACCACTGCTTTCATGCAGACCAGCTGAGGCGCTAAAGGAATTTACTCCATGCATAGGTATAATGATTACAAAGATTAGAGGACACTTAGGTCACCTGCCAGTTATGTATTTCTAAGAGCAGCAAGAGTCTAAGTAAACTACAAGTCAAATAGCACCAAAAATAATATGTTACTGCATAAATGTATTAATAGGTTATTTTATTATTGAACTTATAAAAGATACAGAAACTTCTGGAATAAGCAAGCGCTCACAAAAGCATGCTGCTATTTGTAAATAAAAGGAGTTTTCTGAGTTGGTTGTAGGTATTAGTCAACATGGATACAGACATCTCTTACTTTCTTTTATTCCTATCTGGATAAGGAAACTGGGCACTGAGCAGTCACTGGAGACAGATAAAGAATATATTCATTTCCTACCCTCTCATTTATTTTCTTTTCCTTCCTCTAAGCTTTGCATTAATAAAGCATAGAAGGAAGAAGAAACCAGGACTAAAGATACTTGAATGCATCCTCCTTCTCATATAAAACCTATAATTTTCTGAAATTTTCAGAAATGCATTACTTCTCTTTTGACGGCCCTTGCTGAAATTCACAGAAGCCAACAAAAGAAATCATGAAGTCTCTAGCATGAATCATTTATTTGGACAAAATAGAGAAGCTATTTTAAAAAGGGCAGTAATTCCTTCTTGCTGTCAAAAGATAAAGGCTTACAATTTCCTGCTGAAATGTGTACAATACCTTGTAAATTGTGAACATGTAATCATCTCTTGAAAAAGAGGAGAAAAACACCAATTGGCAACATTTTGCCATAGTAGTGAATGCATTACTGCAAACCATGAATATTTTTAATTCTAGTCTTCTAAGAGAAAATGACAAAAGTCAATTGTTCACTACCAGATAATAGTGAAAGTCAACTAAAAAAGGGAGTTAAAGTTAGAAAAGTGACCAGAAAAAAATTACTATTTTTCCAAGCAAACTTTTACTGCCGTTAGATCTCGGAGTCATAGCTAATGACTTTAATGTGAGGTCTGTAATATCCCAAAGAGGCACAGAATGAGAAATCCAATTCCATCTGTCCTGAATATTACTGAGGAAAGCAAAGCTGCTTTTGGATGATGAAAATTCTACTACTGAGGATATACCGTGACTGGCTGCAGTAATTGCAGTGAGCAAAATTATGTTTGTCTATGCAAACTGCCATGTTTTAATATTGCTCCCCATCCTCTCAGAGAAAATTATAAGGAACATTGGAGTAAGAAATTATATTTGTACATTGTCATTTGGGATCCATTATCACCCTTTAAACCACAATTATTGGTGTCAGTGTTGGAGCTTTGTGGATATTCAGTGGCCTTTAAAATATTTCCCTGACACATTGAAGAAAATCGGATTCAAAGTGGCTAGTGAAATTGTATTCAGATTACAGTCTGAATCAAAATTTCTTTCTGAAAACTATCCAACTTGCTTCCTTTAATTAAAAAAAAAATTTTAATTTGATTTAATTTTGGAGATTCTTAGGCAAATTGGGAAGTGAGTAGTTTGCCTTTGGTGAATCTCCACCTCTAATTTCAGCCGTGCCCTTTATAGTGTCAGCCTTGCTTATCCCTCATCTATGATGCTTAGGTTGGGACCCATTCTCCCAGGACTCATGTTTCTTTTCCCATCTCCCCTTCTTTGTCTTTAATCCTATTTTCTCATTAGTTGTAGCACTGTCTCATCTCCTAACTTCATGAAAGATCACACATATGAATTACAAAGCTCAGGCTCTCTTCATTCTTCTGGTTTTATAAAGATAACTCCATTTGGTCCTTTCAAATATAGGCATCTTTCTTTTATTTCATTTTTAGGTAACCTAGTTCAAACTGTCAGAAAAGACTGGATTTCTACTGTTTTCCAAAACCATCAAGGAGATCAAAGAATGACAAAACGAAAACAGCTCAGGCCTGATTCCTACTGTATAGTCATCATTTATTTGAAAAATTAATAGACTTGATCTTTGCCATCAAGTTCCTTAAGAGATATAAGTTCAAAAACGATAGTTAGCAGTACAAGAGAATGCCTAAGGGACCAAGTGAAACATAGTGATTATATAAACCAGGGGATTCAGACAAGGGACAGAGGACATGGCATTGGGAGGTCAGGTACCACCTCGTCTTCACCTTCCAGGTAGCTAAAATTTGTTCATGATATTTGTTTAAGGTGAAGAAAGTGATAATCTTGTGTAACTTGATAGAGGTCTCAGAACAATATACGATTAGACTCTTTCTATTTTTCCCCCCAAAGAATCATTTTATCATTAAAGATACGCCTTCTGTTTAATTCACAGAATAAAATCTTGGTGATTTATAGTATGATGTATAGGTGTTATTCATGAGCAAAGAGTATAATCACGTTTTCAGAGGTGAGATTTCAAATGATACAAGCAGGATTTATTTTGGCTTAAATTAAGTAATTTTTATCTGTAGCTCCTGCTGTCTGAAAGGGACCCTTGCCATAGGAGATGAGCCTATTCATTATAGGAAGTGAAGAATATAGTCCTCTAGAACAGGAATTCATTTCTTTCTATACTTACTATTAGTAAAGAAGACACAGAATGCTGTCTTCCATAGAGATCTTTAGGGTATGATTCAGAAATTCATCCAAACATCATTCACTGAGTCAATACTATGGACTGAATGCTTGTATCCTTCCCAAATTTATCTATTAAAATCTAGATCCCCAGTGCGGTGGAATTTGAAGATAAGGCCTTTGGGAAGGAATTAGATCATGAGGGTAGAACACTTTTGATGAAATTAGGGCCCTCATTAGAAGAAGCTTGAGAGAGTTTGTTTTCCATTTGTGCCCTCTGCCCTATAAGGATATGAGGATAACACAGCCATTGCAAACTTGGAAGCAGATGCTTCACAGACAACAGATCTGCCATCACCTTGATCTGAGACTTTCCAGGCTCCAGAACTGTGAGAAGTAAATGTTTGTTGTTTAAGCCACCCAGTCTAAGGTAATTTGTTATAGCAGCTTAAACTAAGACACTTGAGTTTCAAGAGCAGCTGATATTACCTAACTTTTGCCAAGTAATCAGATTCACTTATTCTCATTTTCTTATTGTGGACACATAGGAAGCCTGGTTGGGTAGATACCCAATAATATTAGAGAAGATCACTTCTGGTCATCAGCAATATAGGATAAGAAAACAAAGTAAGAATGATTGGGCTGGGCGTGGTGGCTCACGCCTGTAATCCCAGCACTTTGGGAAGCCGAGGTGGGCGGATCACGAGGTCAGGAGATGGAGACCATCCTGGCTAACGTGGTGAAACCCTAAAAATACAAAAAATTAGCCGGGCGCGGTGGTGGGCGCCTGTAATGCCAGCTACACCGGAGGCTGAGGCAGGAGAACGGCGTGAACCCAGGAGGCAGAGCTTGCAGTGAGCCAAGATCGCGCCACTGCACTCCATCCAGCCTGGGCGACAGAGCGACACTCCCTCTCAAAATAAATAAATAAAAAATAAAGATTGAAACCATGATAACATCACTGTTCAAACTGAGTTCTCAGAGAATAGTGGAAGAAAGGAGGGAACCCTGGTTAGATTATGTGTTGTATTACGTTTTTACATCCACAAAAAAATTACAGACAAATGTATTTAAAAATTGCTAGCGCTTCTATTTCTAGGAAGTGTGCACTTGTATGTATGTGTGGGGAGGGAGATATTTTTATTTATTAATTTTAATTTTGTTCATTTTGTACTATTTGGTAATTATAGACATATATTGCTTTTGAAATTTAAATAATAGTTTTATGGACTTGGAATGGGAGTCATCTCTCGCTCCTCTCCTCTCCTCCCTAGAGAGAGCACGGCTGCACATGCACTGAATATTAAGGAGGTACCGCCGCTAAGCGCCTATTTGCCAGCCTTTACTCTTACGCGCCGTCTACTGGACGACAGCCTGAATTACACCAACAAAGAAAACTACACTGCTTCAAAATGTAATGCTGTGAAACCTGCAGAAACCTGTCTACAACCAAGAAACCCACATTGAGCCTTGGGCCCCTGAAAGCACCCAGAAACAAAGACAATCCCCTTACACAACATACACTGCAGTCAAACACTCGAAGAAATAAACTAAGAATATGAGAACAAAGAGCCCCTTCTGACTGACAACAAATTTAAAAAGAAAAAGAAACTCCAGCTCCTTCAGATGAGAAGGGCTCAGTGCAAGAACTCTAGAAATTCAAAAAGTCAGAGTGTTTTGTTACCTCCAAAGGATCACACTAGCTCCCTAGCAATGGATCCTAACCAGATGGAAATGTCTGAAATGACAGACATAGAATTCAGAATCTTGATGGCAAGGAAGTGTAACAAGATCCAAAGAAAGTTGTCATTCAATTTAGGGAAGCCAGAAAAATAATCCAAAATTTAAAAGATGGCATAGCTATATTAAGAAAGAACCCAAACTGAACTTCTGGAATTTAAAAATTCACTACAGGAATTTCAAAATACATTTGGAAGCCTTAACAACAGATGAGACCAAGCAGGGGAAAGAATTTTAGAGCTTAAAGAATAGTCCTTCAAATCAATCTGATCAGACAAAAATAAAGAAAAAATAAATTTTTAAAAATGAGAAAAGCCTCCAAGAAATGTGGAATTATGTAAAGTGACCAAACCTATGACTCATTGGCATTTCTGAGAGAGAAGAAGAGAGAGTAACCAACTTGGAAAGCATATTTGAGGATATAATCCATAAAAATTTCCCAAAGCTCACTAGAGAGGTCAACAGGGGAATATGAAGAATTCAAGTAACCCCTGCAAGATACTATATAAGACAATCATCCCCAGGACACATAGTCATCCGACTTTCTAAGATTAATGCAAAAAAAAAAAATTCTAAAAGGCAGCTAGAGAAAAGCATCATATCACCTATAAAGAAAACCCCATCAGGCTAACAGCAGATTTCTCAGCAGGAAACTTACAAGTCTGAAGAGATTGGGGGCCTATTTTTAGCATTCTTAAAGGAAAGAAATTTCAACCAAAAATTTTATATCCTGACAAACGAAGCTTGATAAGCAAAGGAGAAATAAAATCTTTTGCAGACAAACAATTGCTAATGAAATTTGTTACCACTAGACTGGCCTTATAAGAGACACTTAAGGGATTTCTGACTATGGAAAGGAAAAAAATTACACCTCCTACCACAAAAACATACATAAGTACATTACCCACAGACTCTATAAAGCAACTACGCAATGGAGACTACAAAGCAACCAGCTAACACCATCATGACAGGAGAAAAACCTCACATATCAATATTAAGTGTGAATGCAAATAGTCTAAACACCCACTTAACAGACAAAGAACGGCAAATAGTATTAAAAAACAGGACTCAACCTTCTGCTGTCTTCAACAGACCCATCTCTCATGTAATGACACCCATAGGCTCAAAGTAAAGAGATGGAGAAATATCTACAATGCAAATGGAAAATTTTTAAAAAGCAGGGATTGGTATTCTTGTATCAGAAAAAACAGAAGTTAAACCAACAACATTAAAAAAAAAGACAAAGAAGGTTATTACATAATGATAAAGGGTTCAATTCAACAAGAAAGCTTAATTATCCTAAATATATACACAACCAATATCGGAGCACCCAGGCTCATAAAACAAGTAATTCTAGACCTGCAAAAATACTTAATTACATAATAATAGTGATGTACTTCAAAACCCCACTGACAGCGTTAGACAGATCACTGAGAAAGAAAACTGTCAACAAGATTCTGGACTCTATTTGACACTTGACCAGTTGGATCTAATAGACATTGGCAGAATATTCCACCCAATAACCACAGAATACACATTCTTCTCTTTAGCACACAGAACATACTCCAAGACCAAGCGTGTGCTTGGTGATAAAGCAAGTCTCAATAAATTCAAAAAATCAAAATTATACCAAGCATACTATTGAGCCAGAGTGAAACAAAAATAGAAATAAATACCAAGAGGAACTCTCAAAACCACACAACTGCATGAAATCTAAACATCTTGCTCCTGAATGACATCTGCATAAACAACAAAATTAAAGCAGAAATAAAAAAAATTATTGGCAATAAATGAAAGCAGAAAACACTACATACCAAAATCTCTGGGATGTGGCAAAAACCACATTAAGAGGAAAGTTTGTAACACCAAATACCTACATCAATACCATAGAAAGATCTCAAATTAATAATCTAACATCACACCTAAAGGTACTAGAGAAACAAAAACTAACAAGAAGTAAATAAATAAACAAAATGAGATCAGATTTAAATGAAATTGAGACCCCCCAAAAAATCATGCAAAGAACTAACAAAACAAAAGTTGGTTTGAGAGGATAAACAAGGTTGATAGACTGTTAGTTAGATTTACAAAGAAAAAAAAGAAGATACAAATAAGCACAATCTGAAATTGGAACAGTATAGAGAAGAGACTCAGTCTTGGCAGATGAGGGATATGATAACCAAGACCCCACGAATCTCACATGTCCAGGAAGATTCCCTCCCTTACTTTCTTGCCTCCCTTAACAAGCTGACCCATGTAATGCAGGAGAAAGCTACCCTGTCCTAACCTAACTGACTAGGCTAATTTCCTAACCATAAAGGAAGAGCATAACCATTTATCTCCTCAAGTGATGCCTCCCAAGGTTGGCAGAGCAGGACTCTAGCATTCCTGATAAGAACCTGATCATCTTCCACATTTACTGAAGTGAGACTCTGGCATTCTCCATAAGAACTGGAGGCCGGGTGCAGTGGCTCACGCCTGTAATCCCAGCATTCTGGGAGGCCGAGGCAGGTGGATCACGAGGTCAGGAGATCGAGACCATCCTGGCCAACATAGTGAAATCCTGTCTCTACTAAAAAATAAAAAAATATTAGCAGGGCATGGTGGCAGGTGCTTGTATTCCCAGCTACTAGGGAGGCTGAGGCAGGAGAATGGCGTGAACCTGGGAGGTGAAGCTTGCAGTGAGGCAGTGAGCCGAGAATCCACCACTGCACTCCAGCCTGGACAAAAGAGCGAGACTCTGTTTAAAAAAAAAAAAAAGAAGAAGAACTGGATAAGATCCAGTCAGCTGAAGACAAGGTGGACTCCAGCATTGATCTTTCACTGAGATTTTCTTCATAATAATCTCATTATAATACTAAAAATCATACCTTGGGTGGAGATTTAACATGGTAATGAAACATATAATGCATAAAGAAACATGTTATCAAACTGCACAGCTGTTAAAAGTTCTCTGCCTGTACATGCCTACATATCACTCCTTTTCTCATCTCAGCTTTTTAAAAATGAAGTAGCCAAGCCCTTCAGAAACCTAGCATCAGCATCTCTTTCCTGTGTGCTGCTCCCTTGGATTGCTTGAGCTGCAAGCCTATTACATCTTGCCTGAGAAAAACTTCTGTTTGGCCTCCTGTTAATTTCTACTTATGTGTGAGCCAAGAATACAGCCTGTGTTGCAGGAACAAAATGACAAAAGTGACATTACAACAAATCCCACAATAGATCCTCAGAGATTATTAGGAAAACTTCTATATCCACACAAACCAGAAAATATAGAGGAAATGGATAAATTCCTAGAAACATAAAACTTCCTAAAATTAAATCAGGAAGAGATTGAAAGCCTGAAAAGACCAATAGTGAGTTCTGAAATTTAATCAGTAATTTAAAAACCTATCAACCAAAAAAAAAAAAAAAATTCCTGGACCATGTGGATTCATAGCCAAATTCTACTAGATGTACAAATGAGAGCTGGTGTCAATTCTACTGAAACTATTCCAGAAAAATCAAGGAGGATGGATGCCTCTCTAACTTCTCTATGAAAACAGTATCATGCTGACACCAAAATCTGGGAAAGACATAAGGAAAACAGAAAATTACAGGACAATATCCACGAGGATCATAGATGGCAAAAGTTCTCAACAATTGCTAGCAAACTGAATCCAGGAGCACATCAAAATTTAATTTGTCACAATCAAGTAGCCTTCATTCCTGGGAAGCAAGATTGGTTCAACATAGAAAAAACATATGATCATTTCAATAGATACAGAAAAGCTTTCTGTAAAATTCAACATCCTTTCATGATTAAAAACCCTTAACAAACTAAGCACTGAAGGAACATATTTCAAATAATAAGAGGCATCTTGGCCAAGCCCACAGCCAACATCATACTGAATGGGAAAAAGCTGGAAGCATTCCCTTTAAAAATTGGAAGAAGACAAAGATGCCCACCCTCCATGCTCATAGTCAACATAGTATTGGAAATCCAAGCGAGAGTAATCAAACAAGAGAAAGAAATAAAAGTCATCCAAATAGGAAAAAAAAAGTCAAATTATCTCTCTTTATTGATGATATAATTCTGTACTTTAAAAACCCTAAAAACTCTGCCAAAAGGCTCCTCGGCCTGATAAATAACTTAGATAGGGTTTCAGTATACAAAATCAATAAACAAATATCAGTAGCCTTTCTGTACATCAATAATTTTGAAACTGAGAGCCAAATAAAGAAAGCAATCCCATTTACAATAGCCACAAAAAGTTAACTAGAAATGCATTTAACCAAGAAGGAAAAACATCTCTACAAGGAGAACTAGAAAACACTGCTGAAAGAAATCGTAGTTGAGATTTGAGACATAGTTGAGAGTTGAGATCAAAGACAGGCATCACATTTACCATACTTCAAACATACTGTAAGGCTCCAGTAACTAAAACAGCATGATATGGGTACAAAACTAGACACTTAGACCAATGGAACAGAATACAGAACCCAGAAATAAAGCCACATACCTACAACTAACTGATCCTCAACAAAGCTGACAAAAATAAGCAATAGGGGAAGGAGTCCCTATTAATAAATTGTACTAGGAAAACTGGCTAGCCATATGCAGAAGAATGAAAAAGAACCCCTGTTTTTCACCATATATAAAAAATTAACTCAAGATGAATTAAATACTTAAGTGTAAGACTTCACACTATAAAAATCCTAGAAGAAAACCTAGGAAACACTCTTCAGAACATCAACCTGAGCAAAGCATTTATAACTGGGTCCTCAAAAACAAATGCAAGAAAAATTGGAGCCTAATTAAACTAACGAGCTTCTGCACAGCAAAAGAAACTATCAACAGAGCAAACCGACAGCATATAAAATGGGAGGATATATTCACAAACTATGCATTCAACAGAGGATCGATATCCCGAACCTATAAGGCACTTAAACAAAGCAACAAGAAAAAACATATAACCCTATTACAAGCAGGCAAAGAACATGTCAAAAGAAGACATACAAGGCTGGGTGCGATGACTCACACCTGTAATCCCAGCATTTTAGGAGGCTCAGGTGGGCGGATCACCTGAGTTCAGGAGTTTGAGACCAGCCTGGCCAACATGGCAAAACCCTATCTCTACTAAAAATACAACAATGAGCCGAGTGTGATAAAAATGACATCCAGCTACTGGGGAGGCTGAGGCAGGATAATCGCTTGAACCCAGGAGGCAGAGGTTTCAGGGAGCCAAGATTGTGCCACTGCTCTCCAGCCTGGGTGACAGAGTGAGACTCACAGGAAAAATAATGAACATCACGAATCATAAGTGAAATACAAATCAAAACCTCTATGAGGTACCATCTCTCAACAGTCAGCATGGCTATCATTAAAAAGTCAAAAAATAACTGATGTTGGCAAGGTTGTGGAAAAAGAAATGGCTATACACTCTTGGTGGGAATGTAAATCAGTTCAGCCCCTGTAGAAAGCAGTTTGGAGGTTTCTCAAAGAATTAAAAATAGAACTACCATTTGACCCAGAAACCCCATTACTGGGTATATGTCAAAAGAAAAGAAATCATTTTGGCCGGGCGCAGTGGCTCAAGCCTGTAATCCCAGCAATTTGGGAGGCCGAGGCGGACGGATCACGAGGTCAGGAGATCGAGACCATCCTGGCTAACACGGTGAAACCCCGTTCTCTACTAAAAAAAGAAAAAAAAAAAACTAAAAACAAAAAGTTAGCTGGGTGTGTTGGCGGGCGCCTGTAGTCCCAGCCTCTCGGAAGGCTGAGGCGGGAGAATGGTATGAACCAGAGAGGCGGAGCTTACAGTGAACTGAGATTGCGCCACTGCACTCCAGCCTGGGTGACAGAGTCAGACTCCGTCTCAAAAAAAAAAAAAAAAAAAAAAATTCATGTTATCAAAAAGACATATGTATTTGTATGTTCATCACTATACTATTCACCATAGCAAAGTCATGGAATAAACCTAGGTGCACATCAACAGTGGATTAGATCAAAGATCATAAGAACGTGCATATACACCATGGAATAATACATAGCCATAAAAATGAATGAAAACTTGTCATTTTCAGCTACATGGATGCAGCGGGAGGTCATTATCCTCAATGAATTAACATAGAAGGAGAAAACCAAATAGTGCATATTCCTAAACATGGGAGCTAATTCTTGGGTACACATCGACATTAAGATGGAAAAAATAGATCCTGGGGACCACAGATAGAGGGAGGGTGGGAGGGAGGGGTAAGTACTGAAAAATTTTCTATTGAATATTATCTTCACTACCTGGGTGACAGGATCAATAGAAGCTTAAACCTCAGCATCATGCAATATACCTGTGTAATAAAACTGCACATGTACCCCCATATCTAAAATAAAAATTGAAATAAAAATATAATAAATAAATTATTGTAAAAATGCATGTTCAGTTGGTTCCAGAATAATTATTGTTGGCATATTTTAGTCGAAATTAGTGTATTTTGATGCAAACTAGCACATGTTGCAATGTCTAATGCCATTATTAATATTTTACAGTCATTAGGTCAAAATAAAAGTACTGAACACTATGGATGACACTGAAGAATCTAAATTGCTGACATCTGATGGCAAGACAGAGGTAACTCCCATGATATACTTTTATTCCTTCTCACTTTTCTTGTAAAAATATCTCAATCCAGACCCTTTTGACTCCTTTTCTGGCCTACTAGTCATCATGCCAGCTTCAGGTCCTGATATTGCCTGAACTCCATGGTTTCTGTTTATGATCTTGCCTTACACAGCATGATATGGAGGTAAGATCATTCCCCAAAGCCTGGTCCTCACTCAACATTTGCCTGATCTCTGATCAATGCCTAAGGATGGAGACGTTCTTTCTTACATGTTATAACTTCCTCCACTCACACACTGAAAGTTCATTGGTTTCACTTATGGACTTTAAAAATCTCACCACCTCTGAGAATCCCTTCTAACCACATAATCATTTTAAAATTACACCTTCACACACGATCATTCATAGTAGATAAACCTATGTTTTTTATAATGGTAGAATCATATCATTTTTATACTTAATATTCTTCAACAAGTTCCTACTATACTGTGAAAATAAATGGCAAGTAGAGAGAGATGCTGAAAATAACTTCAAATATACACCATGGAATACTATGCAGCCATAAAAAATGATGAGTTCATGTCCTTTTAGGGACATGGATGAAATTGGAAATCATCATTCTCAGTAAACTATCACAAGAACAAAAAACCAAACACCGCATATTCTCACTCATAGGTGGGAATTGAACAGTGAGATCACGTGGACACAGGAAGGGGAATATCACACTCTGGGGACTGTTGTGGGGTTGGGGGGGGCAGGGATAGCATTGGGAGATATAACTAATGCTAGATGACAAGTTAGTGGGTGCAGCGCACCAGCATGGCACATGTATACATATGTAACTAACCTGCACACTGTGCACATGTACCCTAAAACTTAAAGTATAATTTAAAAAAATAAAAAAAAACTTCAAATATTAAGGAATTTGGCCAACTGTAGGACCTATGAATTCCTCAAAATAAAAGGTGTCCCAACCACTACATTTTTTCTGTTTAACCACGTAGAACCCCAAACGTTATGCATGCAAATGGATCTTAATATATTCTTCAATAAGATAGAAATGGGGAATATATTTCCATAGAGATACAGGTTTAAAGTTTTGAGGTAGAAGAGACTGTGGAAGACCTATAAACCAGCTTTCATCATATCATAAATAAACTGAGACTTAAAGGCAATAGATGAGTTGAATAAATTCACCCAGAAAAATAATTTTAAAATAGTGCAAGAACCCAGTTATTCTAATGTCTGGTCCAACACATCGTCTCTTTCACTTATCACAGAGGCTCAATCAGATTTTGTTATTTGACTTTGAACTTTATTATAACATTTGAAAGAAAAAAATAATCTGACTGAGGCTATGAATTATTATAAACATTTGCATTGCCTGTGGACAATTGAGTGTTACCTTCATTCTGAGTGCCTTCATTTAGATTTGTCACAGCCTCAACTAAAGTGAAGCCCACCTTTTCTGCTTAATATCATGTTTATTTTTTACTTTCTGATAGTTTGGATCTGCGTCCCTGCCAAATCTCATGTTGAAATGTGATCCCCAGTGTTGGCTGTAGGGCCTGGTGGGAGGTGTTTGTCTCAAGGGGGTGGAAATCTCATGGTGTGATCCACTTGTGATAGTGAATGAGTTCTCACGAGATTTGGTTGTTTAAAAGTGTGTGGCCGTCCGGGCGTGGTGGCTCACGCCTGTAATCCCAGCATTCTGGGAGGCCAAGGCAGGCGGATCACGAGGTCAGGAGATCAAGACCATCCTGGCTAACATGGTGAAACCCCGTCTCTACTAAAAATATAAAAAATTAGCCGGGCGTGGTGGCAAGTGCCTGTAGTCCCAGCTACTCGGGAGGCTGAGGCAGGAGAATGGCGTGAACCCGGGAGGCGGAGCTTGCAGTGAGCTGAGATCACGCCACTGCACTCCAGCCTGGGCAACAGAGCCAGACTCCGTCTCAAAATAAATAAATAAATAAATAAAGTGTGAGGCACCTCCTCTCCCCACCGCCCCTTGCTCCTGCTCTGGCCATGTGACATGACTGCTCCTGCTTTACCTTCTGCCATAAGTAAATGTTCTCTGAGGTCTCCCCAGAAGCCAAGCAGATGCTGGTACCATGCTTGTACAGCCTACAGAACCATGAGCCAATTAAATTTCTTTTCTTTATAAATTACCCAGTCTCAGGTATTTCTTTATAGCAATGCAAGAATGGCCTAGTACACTCCCATTACGACATTATTCTTTCTTTACCCCTTCACCTTCAAAGCATTTCTCTTTCATCTACTTTACATGTGGAAAATATATTGGTTCAAATTGAATACAAACAACAAAATCTCTGCCACTATAATGTGCTATGAACAGAACAGCCTTGGCAACTTGAAATCATATACATAATCAGAAACAGATGGGGAAGAAAATGCCATCTCATTAGTAGGTCACAGTTAACAAAAGTAAACAGCTTCTTTATTTTTCTAATTTATTAAATGAAAGGTGCTTTGTTACTCTATGAATGGAGTCTTCTGACAACAATATTTAGCAACACTAAATATGTTGCTAAATATGTTGCTAAATATAAACACTAAATAGATGTTTGCATGGACCTTTTTTGAAAAGTTCTTTAAAAAAATCAAGCAGACAATCTTCTATCCTAGGAACACCTCCTTGCCTGGGAAGTAAAGTAGTAATATGCAAAAAAAAACCAAAAAAAAAACAAAGTTTAAATGCTTATTTTCAATAGAAGTTTCTATAATTGCGTTTCTTCTGTTAATTATTTTGTAAAGTTCTTATAAATGCTGGGTAAAGTTCACCTAAGGTAAAAATTATTGAACAGTTTGTGCAACCATTATCAGAAAAAAAAGTATGGCCCTCACATTGCCAACAGAAAAGAAAGAATCTTCCAGCTAACTCAAATTGTAGCTTACTCAAGGAGGTACAATAATTGGATGAAAGCTCTCCCAAAAAAGTAAATATTGGCGTCCAAAATGCAAGCCTCTGCCAAAAATCTCAATGGTTTAAGCCGTAATTTTCTTGCTGAATGATGGTCTCTCTAGTTCATTTTCTGGTATTTGCTTTTCCAATTCAGCGTCTTTCTTCCAGAAGTTAAAGTGACACTAAGTGTAAATTCAAGCAGTTGTTATTGAGTTTGCTCCTTTTACACGCTGAGCCAAGACTCTATGGGAGATTACACATCCCTAGAAGGCATGCTAGAAGAAAGAGATCACACATAAGGAAGGAAATAGTGTGATATCTATTCTATGCATAGTCTCAGTCCACATCACATCCATCATTATCACAATCATTACCTTCATCTTTATCATTTTCACTATGGTGACTTTTGAGCTTCAAAAACTAACTAGTTATTTAATCTTTTTAAAGTTAACAATATGAAAGTATAAAGTGCACATTAAAAACCCCAACTACCAGGGTTGTTTTGAATGCTAAATGAGGTATGCCAAGTACTTACTACTTTGTCCAGCTCTACTATCTTTATTCGTGGAATATTTTAACCATTTGTGGATCATTTATTAGGTTAAGACATTCTTAACCCATTTAACTCTTTACTATATGCTAAATACTTTGGTTTCTATTTTACAGATGAGGACTGTAACATAACTACTTGGTCTAAGGATCCACATCTAGTAACTACCATCACAGAGGTTGGAATGTATGTCTGCCTGGATCCAAAACCAGTTATGAATATAGTTTTTTTTTTTTTTTTTTTTTTTTTTTTTTTTGAGATGGAGTCTCACTCTGTCACCCAGGCTGGAGTAGCGTGGCGAGATCTCGGCTCACTGCAAGCTCCGCCTCCCGGGTTCACGCTATTCTCCTGCCTCAGCCTCCCGAGTAGCTGGGACAACAGGCGCCTGCCACCACACCCGGCTAATTTTTTGTGTATTTAGTAAAGACAGGGTTTCACCATGTTAGCCAGGATGGTCTTGATCTCCTGACCTCCTGATCCGCCCTCCTCGGCCTCCCAAAGTGCTGGGATTGCAGGCGTGAGCCACGGTGCCCGCCTGAATATAGATTATTTTATTAAGGAGTTTTTGCCATATATCTTTATACAATCCTCAGAACTATAAAAACATATTTGTTAAATCTGTCAATTTTGTTATGTTAAAAATTGATTTGGGATCCAGATTGAACCCACTTAGCCTGCACTTCTACCCAAAGAGATGTTTGGGTTTAGATAATTTATTATGAGTTTCCTGAATCATATACTATCTCTTCTCTTTCATAAGGCTAATAGTTAAAGACTCTTAAATCTCAGATAGAAAGTATGAAGTCCAGTCCTTTACGCTAGACTTTATGAATCTCAGTTCTAACACTAGGCATTGGCCTTGCCCACTAATGTAGTAGCGACCTTTTAAAATAGATCTGATCCTAATAGGGACTTAGTTACAGAAAAGTTACTACCTGGCCCCTTCAAATACCCATTACTCATTCATTGTGACCCTAAGACCCGAAAATACATACAAAGTCATTCAACAAGTGGTAAAATCCACTCTTCTTGGGGTTTACAAGGAATGACAGGATCCTTAAATTTTGAGAAAAGTAAGTCAGAATAGGTGGGTTTGGAGACATACTGTTACCTGGGAAAGAGGTACTATTATCACTTTAGGTAGTAAAAAGATGCCCATGCTTTCCCTTATAATGATATTCCTAAAAACATTATTAGAACAGCAATTATGATTTTCAACTTTCAACTGACATTACAATTGTCAGAAAACTAAATCTTTTATAATGAACCACAGTGTAAAGGAAGTCAGATAATTGTTTAAGATATCCTAAAATCAATGCTTTTTAAAAAAATATAGGGAGGTGAGTACAATAAAAGACACATAAGAATTTACCTTAGAGTCTGAAGGGTTGGGGAGTCTACAATTATTAAACCCCCTGTAAGCCAAAAACAATGTATGGAATTTGACAGTGACAATATTGTATAGAATGCTAAAATACATTGAACTTTATTCCTAAAATATATCTTTCAGAAACCACTCAACTTGTTTACGGATATTTTTCCTTCTCTCTTCCCTCCTGCTCACCTTCCCTAACCAAACCCGATCCAGAGACAGAGACAATCAACAACAATACACATTCACCTAGCAAGGAAGAATGTATACTTCACCACGAGCTACACAGGTTGGCAAATTTGCTTGCAGAAAACATTTAACAGAAACTAGAGGTTAAAAACGGATCCCTCCACCAATGCCATTTCAATTAAAAGAAGAGATTAAGCACTAGTTGATCTACCGTAAGTCACCTCATGACAGAATCACACCACATAGCTAATTATGACTAACCGGGAGACAAAATGTTCTTTGAATAAAGAAACATATGTTTCTTTACAATCTAAAAAAAAAATCTCAAAGCCAGTTTGATCTCCAAGGATAATCCTGAACAGGGAGTATGATGGTTAATTTTTGGTGTCAAGGTAACGGAATTAAGGAATACCTAAAGAAGTAGCACAGCATTATTTTAGGGTGTGTCTGTGAGGGTGTTTCCAGAAGAGATTGGCAGGTGAGTCAATGGACAAAGTGAGGAAGAGCCACCCGCAATGTGCGCAAGAACCACCCAATCAGCTAGGGGCCCATTTAAAACAAAAAAAAGGAGAGAAAAAAATAATCTCTCTCTCTCTTCTGCAGCTGGGAGGCTCTCCTCATCTTTCCCTTGTACATCACAATTCCAGGGTCTCTGATCTGGGGAATACAGGACTCAAATCAGTGACCTCCCACATTCTCAGGCATTTGGCCTTGTACCTAGAATTACATAATTAGCTTCTCTTTTTCGTTTTATTCATTTATTTATTTTATTATTATTACACTTTAAGTTTTAGGGTACATGTGCACAATGTGCAGGTTGGTTACATATGTATACATGTGCCATGCTGGTGTGCTGCACCCATTAACTCGTCATTTAGCATTAGGTATATCTCCTAATGTTATCCCTCCCCACTCCCCCCACCCCACAACAGTCCCCAGAGTGTGATGTTCCCCTTCCTGTGTCCATGTGTTCTCATTGTTCAATTCCGACCTATGAGTGAGAACATGTGGTGTTTGGTTTTTTGTCCTTCCGATAGTTTGCTGAGAATGATGGTTTCCAGTTTCATCCATGTCCCTACAAAGGACATGAACTCATTTTTTGTGGCTGCATAGTATTCCATGGTGTATATGTGCCACATTTTCTTAATCCAGTCTATCATTGTTGGACATTTGGCTTGGTTCCAAGTCTTTGCTATTGTGAATAGTGCCGCAATAAACATATGTGTGCATGTGTCTTTATAGCAGCATTATTTATAGTCCTTTGGGTATATACCCAGTAATGGGATGGCTGGGTCAAACGGTATTTCTAGTTCTAGATCCCTGAGGAATCACCGCACTGACTTCCACAATGGTTGAACTAGTTTACAGTCCCACCAACAGCGTAAAAGTGTTCCTATTTCTCCACATCCTCTCCAGCACCTGTTGTTTCCTGACTTTTTAATGATCGCCATTCTAACTGGTGTGAGATGGTATCTCATTGTGGTTTTGATTTGCATTTCTCTGATGGCCAGTGATGGTGAGCATTTTTTCATGTGTTTTTTGGCTGCATAAATGTCTTCTTTTGAGAAGTGTCCGTTCATGTCCTTCGCCCACTTATTGATGGGGTTGTTTTTTTCTTGTAAATTTGTTTGAGTTCATACGTTCTGGGATACATGTGCAGAAAGTGCAGGTTTGTTACATAGGTGTACACGTGCCATGGTGGTTTTCTGTACCCATCAAGCAGTCATTTACATTAGGTATTTCTCCTAATGCTATATCTCTCCTTGCCCCCCACCCCCAAACAGGCCCCAGAGTGTGATGTTCCCCTCCCTGTGTCCATGTGTTCTCATTGTTCACCTCGCACTTATAAGTGAGAACATGCAGTGTTTGGTTTTCTGTTCTTGTGTTAGTTTGCTGAGAAGGATGGTTTCCAGCTTCATCCATGTCCCTGCAAAGGACATGAGCTCATCCTTTTTTATGGCTGCATAGTATTCCATGGTGTGTACGAGCCACATTTTCTTTATTCAGTCTATAATTAATGGGCATTTTGGTTGGTTCCAAGTCTTTGCTATTGTGAACAGTGCTGCAATAAACATACGTGTGCATGTGTTTTTGCAGTAGAATTATTTATAATCCTTTGGGTATATACCCAGTAATGACATTGCTGGGTCAAATGGCATTTCTGGTTCTAGATCCTTGAGGAATCACCACACCATCTTCCACAATGGTTGAATTAATTTACACTCCCACAAACAGTGTAAAAGCGTTCCTACTTCTCCACATTGTTTCCAGTATCTGTTGTTTCCTGACTTTTTAATGGTCATCATTTTAACTGGTGCGAGATAGTATCTCATTGTGTTTTGATTTGCATTTCTTGAATGACCAATGATGATGAGCTGTATTTCATATGTTTGTTGGCCACATAAATGTCATCTTTTGAGAAGTGTCTGTTCATATACTTTGCCCACTTTTTGATGCGGTTGTTTTTTTTTTTTTTGTAAATTTGTTCAAGTTCTTTGTATATTCTGGATATTAGCATGTTGTAGATTCTGGATATTAGATGATAGGTTTCCTGTTCACTCTGATGATAGTTTATTTTCCTGTACAGAAGCTCTTTAGTTTAATTAGATTCGTTTTGTCAATTTTGGCTTTGGTTGCCATTGCTTTTGGTGTTTTAGTACTAAAGTCTTTGCCCATGCCTATGTCCTAAATGGTATTACCTAAGTTTTCTTCTATGGTTTTTATGGTTTATCTCAATAGATGCCGAAAAGGCCTTCAATAAAATTCAGCACCACTTTATGCTAACAACTCTCAATAAACTAGGTATTGATGGAATGTATCTCAATATAATAAGAGCTATTTATGACAAACCCACAGCTAGTATCATACTGAATGGGCAAAATCTGGAAGCATTCCCTTTGAAAACTGGCACAAGACAAGGATGCCCTCTCTCACCACTCCTATTCAATATAGTATTAGAAGTTCTGGCCAGGGCAATTAGGCAAGAGAAAAAAATAAAGTTATTTGAATAGGAAGAGAGAAAATCAGATTGTCTCTGTTTGCAGATGACATGATTGTATATTTAGAAAACTCCATCGTCTCAGCCCAAAATCTCCTTAAGCTGATAAGCAACTTCAGCAAAGTCTCAGGATACAAGATCTACGTGCGAAAATCACAAGCATTCCTATACACCAATAATAAAAAAAAACAGAGAGCCAAATCACGAGTGCCTCTCATTCACAACTGCTACAGAGAGAATAAAATACCTAGGAATACAACTTACAAGGGATGTGAAGGACATCTTCAAGGAGAACTACAAACCAATGCTCAAGGAAATAAGAGAGGACACAAACAAATGGAAAAACATTCCATGTTCATGGATATGAAGAATCAATACTGTGAAAATGGTCATACTGCCCAAAGTAATTTATAGATTTAATGCTATCTCCATCAAGCTACCATTGACTTTCTTCACGGAATTAGAAAAAACTACTTTAAAGTTCATATGGAACCAAAAAAGAGCCCATACAAGCAAGACAATCCTAAGCAAAAACAACAAAGCTGGCGGCATCATGCTACCTGACTTCAAACTATATTGCAAGGCTACAGTAACCAAAACAGCATGGTACTGGTACCAAAACAGATATCTAGACCAATGGAACAGAACAGAGGCCTCAGAAATAACACCACACATCTGCAACCATCTGATCTTTGACAAATCTGACCAAAACAAGCAATGGGGAAAGGATTCCCTATCTAATAAATAGTGTTGGGAAAACTGGCTAGCCATATACAGAAAACTGAAACTGGACCCCTTCCCTACACCTTTTGCAAAAATTAACTCAAGATGTATTAAGGACTTAAAAGTAAGACCTAGCTCCTCTTTTTCTGAGGCTTTCAGACTTGGAGTGTACCACGATACGGCCCTCCCAGGGTCTTCAGTTTGCAGATGGCCTTTTGTGGGACTTCCCAGCCTCCATAATCACATGAGCCAATTCTCCAAATAAATCTCCTTTCATATATTTCTATCTCTTTCTATGTACTATCTCTCTTCTATTTCTAATGTCTCTCTAGAGGACTCTGACTAATACAGAGTATAGATCATTCACTTTATAGCCAAAGTTTAAATTGAAAAGGTTAAGGGAAAGGTTCAGGACACAAAAATCAACTATATGCAAATAATATATACAATTATATAAAATCAATATATACAATAAAGTCTGTAATAGAGCCAAAAGACATTATTTGGAGACACAAAACTTTAGCTCTCCCCAAAGTCTTTTAAAATGAAGATAAATTTATCTTCACATATACAGAATGGATACTTCCTTAGGCATTGAACTGATAGAGATTTTTCTTAAGACAATCACAGCCAGAAACTTCTATTACTAATCTTTTGACTCCTTTTTCCCTTAGCATTGTAACTTCCACCTTTATTCTTATTGGCTGAATAAAATAGTCTCCAATCTGCCCCACCCAGTGCAGGACTCTTTTTTCTTCAGCTTTAATGAGATGCAATTGACAATAATTGAATCTACTTTTGGGTACAATGTGATGTTTTGATATACGCTGTGAAATGATTAACGTAATCAAACTAATCGACATATCTGTCACTGCACATAATTGCTATTGTGTGTGTGTGTGTGTGTGTATGTGTGTGTGTGTGTGTGTGTGTGGTGAGAAGATTTGAGATCTACCTTCTTAGCAAATTTCAACTACACAATATCATATTATATGTTCCTATATTAACAATAGTCAGGCTCCATATTAGACCTCCAGGACTTACTCATCCTGCTTAACTGAAACTTTGTACCCTTTAATCACCATCTCCTCATTTATCCCAAACTCCATGTCCTAGCAACCTCCATTCTACCCTCTGCTCCTATTAGCTCAACTTTTTTAGATTGCACATACAAGTAAGTATATATAGTATTTGTTTTTCTGTGCCAGGCTTACTTCACTTGGCATAATGTCCTTCAGATTCATCCACATTGTTGCAAATGACAGGATTTTCTTCTTTTTGAAGCCTGAATACTCTTCCATTCTCTGTGTGTGTGTGTTTATTACCCTTATCTCACACATATATAAAAATCAACTATATACAATTAATATATACATAGACAATCAATATATACAATTATATATTTGTGTAATATATATGTAATATGGTTAGACTTTGTGTCCCCACCCAAAACTCAACTTGAATTGTAATCCCTAAGTGTTGAGGGAGAGACCTAGTGGGAGGTGATTGCATCATGGTGGCGGTTTCCCCCATGCTGTTCTTGTGATATTGAGTGAGTTCTCATGATATCTGATACGGTTATAAGCATCTGGCAGTTCTTCTATTCACACTCTCTCCTGCTTTCTTGCGAAGAAGTTGCCTGCCTCCTCTTCTGCCATCATTGTAAGTTTCCTGAGGTCTCCCCAGCCATGTGGAACTGTCAGTCAATTAAACCTCTTTTCTTTATGGATTACCCAGTCTCAGGTAGCAGTGTGAGAAAAGACTAATATGATATGTATGTATGTATGTATGTGTGTGTGTATATATATTATACAATCAACATATACGATTATATATTTGTATAATATATGCATATACAAAATATATAGGTATATATATTTTATACAAATATGGCATAATCTTATATGTGTAATATAAATATTAACATTTTCTATCCATTTAACTGTTGCTGAACACTTGGGTTGATTCCATATCTTGGCTATTGGGAATAATGATGCAATGAACATGGTGCATATATTTCTTCAACATACTAATTTTATTTCCTTTGGATATATACCCAGAAGTAGGATTCCTGGATCCTATGGTAGTACTATTATTTTTAATTTTTTGATGAACCTTCATTGTTTTCCATAATGGTTTTAGCAATTTACAGTCCCACCAACAGTGTACAGGGCTTACTTTTCTCCACATTTTCTCCAGCATTTGTTATCTTTTGTCTTCTTGATAGCAGCCATTCTAACAAGAAGAATATGATATATTATTAGAGTTTTAACCTTCACTGTTGTTGAGGAATTTTTAATATGTCTGCTGGCTATTTTTTACCTCTTTTGGGAAAGTCAATTCATGTCCTTTTTCCATTAAAAAAAGTCAAGTTGTTTTCTTACTAATGGGTTGTTTGCATTCCTTATATATTTTAGATATTATCACCTCATCAATTGTATAGTTTGCATATATTTTCCCCCATTTAATAGTTGTCTCATTTGTTATTTTCTTTGTTGTGCAGAAACGTTTTAGTTTTATGCAGTTTGATTAGTTTATTTTTGCTTTTGTTTTCTGTGCTTTTGGGTCATATCAAAAATAGCATTGCCCAGACTAATGTAATGAAGACTTTTCCCTATGTTCTCTTCTAGTAGTTTTAAGATTTCAAGTCACAGCTTAAGCTTCTGATTCACTTTGAGCTGATTTTTGTATACGGTATGAGATAAGGGTCCAATTTCTTTCCACATGTGAATAACCAATTTGTCCAGCTTCATTTTTTGAAGAGACTATACATTCCCCCCATTGGTACCTTTGTCAAAGACCATTTGACTGTAAAAGTATGGATTTATTTTGGGGCTTTCTATTTTGTTCAACTGGTCTTTATGTCTGTTTCTATGCCAGTACCATATTTTTTATTATTATATCTTTCTAGAATATTCTGAGATCAAGTATGATCTTTTGACTATTATTCAACAAACATTTAAATGTTTTCTTCTGCAGACCTTTCTGGCTGATAAAATAAGGTAAGGAAAAAAAGCCCTAATAGGTTCTTCATACAATTATTAAGAGTAATATTAAAACAATCTAACGTATTGATCTCAAGTAATTTGGGGAAGAGAGATGAGTCAAGATTGTGTATTAACACATTTGGGGAACTGATTAGTTGTGTGTGAAAATAAAACCATTAATTATGCCACTCCAACTGAATAAATAGGTAGGGAACATATATGTACCCCCTAGCACCCATATTACTATTCTAATCTCCAACATATCAAGACTTGAAGTCTTCAATTCCACAGTATTGCCCTTAGAAGTCCACTGGATGCCTGAACAGCGCATTTTACTTGGGACAACTACCCCATAATGCAAGACCTTAGCATAAATCCAAATTGGATCCAAGCCTTAATTTCAATGCTCAATCCAACCCCATTTCTGATGGTACAGTAGACACATGCCTCCCTAACTTTTCCATTTATGCAAAATTAAAAGTCACCTTCTTACAGCACTACTCATTGATTCATGACTTTATTTTTGGCACAGAGCAAATATTGCCTTGTAAACCTAACAATATTTTATTCTATTCAAAAAATCAAAATTTTAGCTTTGCCTCTTAGTAAAGATTTTTCAATGAAATTTTGATAATCAAATAATAATGTATTGTTATTTAATCACAATTTAGAATGATCTGATTACCACTCTCTTAAAAACTCCATTGATTACCAAATCAGGCATCTATAAAAATAATTTATGCTCTTCATTATAAACATTGGTTTTAATAGCATTCATGATAGCCAAAGATAGAATTTCAACTGAAATAAAGAAAGCTCTTCTCATCTAAGAGTATGGAATTTCTGTAGTTTAGGATTTCATCTGCTCTTGTTACTCCTAGCTAGAATCACCATATTTTACTTCTAACAATACTTTTCAGAAAAGTAGAAAAAAATCTAATATTGCCATAAAGGGGCATTATCACTTCACAAGGACAGAATAAGCAGCAGGAGCAGATGAAATTCAAATCAGCCCAAATCCTGTTTCCATAATAATGTATCTTTCTAGCTTTGAAATCACATCAAAATTGCTTCTATACTGAATGGTTTTCAAAGATGTCTTTGAGGCATCATTGAGATTTTTTTAAATGGATAGCATCTAGTAGAGTTAGATGCAAAGGAGACTTTTGCATCTGAGAACAGGATTAGTTCTTCTTGTTTCCAGAGGGATACAAAACATGGCAGATAGGATGTCTCAAATTATTATTTATTCCTTCTTTTGATTCATTACAACTTCCTAATTAAGGCTTGGTTTCCTAAGTAGTTAAGGCAGCTTCCTTTGTCAAAAGCTACCAATGGCTCTTCATTCAATCACATTTTGCACCTGTGTCTGTTAAATAATGATTACAGATGTTAAAAATGTCATAAAAAAGAGAAAATTAATAGCAAGTAGATGGCATTCCTAATAGATTGTGCAGTTCAAGGGCTCCAGAGAAACTAAGAAAACGATCATTTGCCATTATATGTGCATAATTACCCTGGCAGCTGATGGTTATAATCCTTGGAGTAAAGAGAAAGTGAAGTTGTTTATCTATTCATTTCATATTTTAATAATCTAGTACTTGGGATCTGTCATTTTCTGTTCTACTTTACAGTGGTATTCTGTTCACTGATTTGTGCTACATTGATACACATTTTGTGATCACCATTTGTTTTTGAGCCTCTTTGTAATGAGATAATATAAAAACCACCATAATTATGGATTTTTATAATATGTGAGTACAGAGTAGGCTGCTCCTTTCCCCAGAAACTCCTGCCTGTCACCAGTAGGGCCTAGTGACATACATATCATACCAGCATCAGAAAAAGGGAAATGCAAAACAGAATGTAACTTAACTTTCTGTGCTGCTCATCTGAATCTACAACTTGGGAAAGGTAGAAAAGGTCAAGATCTTTAATGACAATTAAGCCCCTTAGATTCTTTGGTGAGAATTTGTAAAGATAAAAATATTGTACGAATGTCATTTTTAGTATGAAAATGGTACATTAGGAATATTCCCTGGTATTCAATGAACATGAATTTCTTAGTCAAATCAATAATCTTAAAAATGATATCAACAGTGAAAGCATGCATTTAATGAATGCAAAGGACCAGGCACTTTGCTAAGTGTGTTATGACTGTAAGCTCATGTCATTCTTAAAACAATTTCTCTTATGCTCCCCTCTGTATTAGTTTTCTCTTGCTGCGGTAACAAACTATCATAAGCTGTTGGCTTAAAACAACACAAATGTATTATGGGACAGTTCTCAAGGTCAGAGGTCTAAAATGGATCTCATTGGGCTAAAATTAAGATGTCAGCAGAGATGCATTCACTTCTGAAAACGTAGGGGAAAATCTCTTTCCTTGCCTATTCCAGCTTATAGAGGCCACCTATATTATAGGGTTGTAAGATACAGGCTTATATAGGCCTGAGGCTTCATTCATGTGAACTAACATATTCACAGGTTCTGGGAATTAAGAAGTAGACATTTTTGGAGGGTCATTATCTTTCTAACTTCACCCTCCAGTCTAGTGAAAGTGAGACTTTTAAATTAAAAATCAAACCACATCTTTTGCCTGTCACAATTCTTTCTTTCCTAAAACCTCTTTTAATACTCCTTGTTTCAGTATGAAAATATGACCTTCAAGGTCCAGAAAGGTCCAGCTCCTTCAACTCTCATTTTTTCCCTATTGTCCTCTTCACTCCTGTGCTAGCTTTGCTGTGGACCTGTTACTTGATAGACGTGCTCTTGTTTTCCAAGTCTGGGTATATTATGTCTTCTATCTGGAATGCTCATCCAACACAGCTTTGCATTGTAACTTCTATTTTTCCTTCTGCCTCTGTATAAAGCATCATTTTCTCAGGAAAGCCTGCACTAACCCCAAATCTCTGCCAACGAATTTACCTGTTTAATTATTTATTTAGATTCTTATGTATGTACATTTCTTTGTGTTCACCGTGTTCCGGCACTTCTGTTTCTGTACACTAGGGATATGGAAGGAAACACAACAGATAATGTTCTGGCTTTCATGAACTTTATTTTCTGATGATGGGAGATAGATGACACATAATAAACAAATATTTAGTGTGTCAGATGGAGCAAGTAAAATAATGAAAAATAAAGCTGGATAAGAGATGAGAGACAAGTGTGGGAGTCATTTTAGACAGATAAGTAAAAAAGTGCTTCTATAAAATGGTGACATCTGAAAAGATTAAGAATGGAGAGGACAGAGTAATTCTTGGAGATATTTAAGGCAAGAACATTCCAGGCAGATGCAACAGTAAATGTGAAGACCAACAGATAAGATGGTGTGTTTGAAGCTCTGAAACCAGAATTTCTCTACTTCATTGTAATTGTAGTGGTCTCAAATTTACACAGTAATGTGATCATTCGAACAATTATCTTCTGCCTCAACTGGCCTTTGAACTTCATGAGAGAAGCCATTCCATCTGATTTTGCTTACCATAGTATCCTATACTGCTTGACACATTAGTGACCCTCAAAAATGTTTCTGGGATGAATGAATAAACAACCCTATGCATGGTGTTATTCTGATCCCATCTTACTATGAGGAAACTGAGGATGAAAACATTTAATAACTTTCCAAGGTTATATCAATGGCAATGCTATGCTGTAAGTCCAAAACTATTTGACAGCAAAGTCCATGTTCTTAACCATTTGGCTGTATTGTCTACAAAATTTTTTGGAAGGGTTTAAGTTAACTTAACTTAAGTTTTCTTATTGAGGGAAATGACTTAGAATAGGTAGATGTATATCGATTACCAACTACAGTAACATATAAACATAGGCATAGCTGCTCAAAGTCTTTGTTTTCTCATAAAATGATGAGAATAATATCCATCTCAAAGTTTGTTTAAATTAAGGCATTGCATAAAATAATAAACATAAAAGCACTAAGCAAATGGTAAAGTATTACTGTAAGCCATCACCATATTGCACATGGAATGCATAAGCAGTAAAACTCTTAAGTTGTTTATGGTCCTGATAAAAGTTTAATGGCGATACGCAGAAAGCATTATCATGCTCATATTTACACACCACGGATTATTCTTTTTCAGCCTACACTTCCATCGGGAAAATACTTTTCCCTCTAAAAGAGGTGAACTATCTGTTCTTTCCAAAGGGTAGGGGAGAACTGAGAAATAGCAGACCTTCTTCTCCAAAAAAGGGGATTGAGTGGTTTTCAAAACAGAGAATGACAGACAATGAGAGAGAAAGTTAAAAATATATATTTTGGAAGGTACATTTTCAAAGTATATTGGTATGATTATACTATGAGAACGTTTGATAGACATTTTGACTTAAAGTGAATCTTAAAATAAACTGATAATTGCTTAAAGCATAGTAATAAGGGCTAGATTTAAATAACGACTGAATTAGCATAAAACAACTTCTGGGTGGGACATATGGCAGATGATAATTTGAACTATATAGAAGGGAATAATTCAGCCTATATAACACTATTTCTGAATATATTTTTTGCTAAATTTTTTTCCACAATATTTTACTAGGAAGATAATGTATATTTACATGAGAAATACAATGAATATATTTACTGTTTATTATATATAATTTGGCTAATATTAACCACATTTAAATTATATGTGGTTCTCATTGACTTGTGTGAAACTGACTCACTCTCAGTTAAACCTATTGTTCCTGGAAGGAAAATTTAATTCAGGACTTTATGAATCTGGCGTTATGAATCAAAAAGAATAATGCTTTTAAAATATATTTTAGTTATGCAGTTTAAAAAGGCAATATATGACTTCAAAATGGCTGACCAGATGCATTTTGTACTTGCCTCCTCCACTAAGAAGAAACAAACTCACTAGTAGGTAATCACACTTCAAATAGATCAGCCAAGAGAGAACACTGGAATTCAACAGAAAAGTGATTGCAAATACTAAAGCAATGAAGGAGGAGGAAGCAAGGCAACCTGATCAGTCAGGATTGGCTGGGAGCTGAAAGAGGGTCCCCAACACAGGGAAAGGCTAAGCGAGAGACCCTTAGTAGTCCATGTTTCCACCATGGACTCATGAGAAGTCCTCAACCTTTGCAGGCCCTAAAACTAACACTAGGAGCTGTCAGGAGACTGTGCAACGGCACCGCTTCAGGAAAGGAGCTCACCCTGGTTCCTACACTAGACATGAACAGCTACACCAAGATGTCATTTTAGAGCCCCATCCCTAACACACCGTGTACTCTCCCAGAAACTAGCAACACTGGGGCTGAGAAGCAAGCGAAGCACAGGCTGCTGCTTTAGGACTGAGGCTGAGGCTCGAGCACAGGGGCTGAGGCTCTAGTGCCACTAGGGCAGAGGTGCGTGTAGAGTACACAGTTTCAATTTATTTGCCTAGTCAGCACTGCCCCACTTCTTGGCAGGGCAGCAGCACAACCATTGCTGCCCCTAACCTGAGCATTCTGCTAGTGGCTTGAAGATCACCACACCCTTTTCTCACATGGCTGGTGCCCCACACACCATCAGAGGACCTGAGTAAAAGCCTAAATGACCAGGCTATGTATGCTCCATCCCAGGCCATACAATCAGGGCCTGGGGATTGCTCTGCCCAGTCCATCACCATGGTCCCCTGAGCACTCCTCTTGGTGAACTGAACACTCCTCCTAAGATTGGGCCTGCCTACCTGGCTGCTATACCACAACTGGTGCCTATCTGTATGTCCCACCTGTGGGCCTGGACACTGGCCCACTCAATTCACCACAGTTACGACCAATGTTAATGTGTACTGCTCAGGAGCCAGAGGGTCATCCTGCCACTGCCACTGTTATCACCCGTGCCTCACCAGCTGCCTAGGGGCCTGAGAGCCTTCCCTTTAGCCTGGCCATTGTGGCTATTATTGGCATCTGAATAAGCCACCTGGTGGCTCGTGAATCATCCTGCCTTTACCAGCTAACACTGATGCCAGCGTACACCATACACTGTTCTAGGGCCCAAGGCAGGCATGCTCAGCCCATTGTTGCCACCACTGGGGCCCAAAGATCGGGCCCAAGGCAGGCATGCTCGGCCCATTGTTGCCACCACTGGGGCCCAAAGATCAGCCTACCTGGAGTACCAGTCCTGAGGAAAACTTTGCCATAGCCCCCACTCATAAGTGCATGCTAAGCAATTCAGAAAATCATAGATACCACTGATGCTGTATATAGTCAAATACAGAGGCTACACTATGGCAGATACCCAGAATCAAAGCAAACATGCACTACCCAACCAAAACCATAGATTAATCTCTAGTAAAAAGCTCTCCCCTATGAAAAAATAATTTAAAAGATAGAAAAAAGCAACTATTACACCAGATGTATATATATAAACATAAAGACACCTCAAACATTAAAAAGAAAGAAAATATGATGTCACCACCGAAGGAGCGTGATAATTCTCCAGCAACAGAGCACAATAAAAAATAAATTTATAAGATTCTAGAAAAAAGAATTCAAATTATTTATTCTAAAAAAGCTAGTGAGATACCAAAATAATTCTTAAGAGCAACACAAAAATCAGAAAATAATTTAGGATATGAATGAGAAATTAACTAAAGAAAAAGATATCATAAAAAAGGAATCAAACAGAAATACTGGAAATAAAGAACTCACTGAATGAAAAACAAAATACATGACAAAGCTTCAACAATAAACTGGATAAAGCAGAAGAAAGAAACTCAGAATTTGAAGACAGTTCTTTTGAAATAACTCACTTGGACAAAAAGAAAAAAAGAGTGAGCAAAGTGTTTGTGACATACAAAACATCATAAAGTGACCAAATCTTTAAATTATCAGAGTCCCAAGAGGCAAAGAGAGAATGAAAGAATTATAAAACCTAGTTAACAAAAATAGGATGGATGAAAACTTCCCAAGTCTAGCAAGAGCATTAGACACTCATTACAGGAGGCTCTGTGATCCCTAAACAAATAAAATGCAAAAGGTCTTCTTTACCATATAATATAGTCAAACTGTTTAAAGTGAAAGACAGAGAGAGATTTTTAAAAACCACAAGAGAAATGACCTAGAGACCTGTAAAAGAACCCCCGTTAGAATAACGGCAGTTTTCTCAGGAGAAACTTTTCAGGTCAGCAAAGAATAGGATAATATATTTAAAGTGCTAGAAGAAAAATAAAAACTTCCAGCTGAGCACACTATATGTAGCAAAATTATCCTTCAGAAATAAAGGAGAAATAGCCTTTCTTAGATAAGCAAAAGCTTAGGGAATTCATCTCCACTAGACTAGCCCTACAAGAAAGGCTCAAGGGAGTAAAAAACCTTAAGTCGAAAGGACATTTACCATCATCAAAACACTAGAAAGTATAAAACTAACTGGTAAAGCAAACACACAAATGAGGAAGAGAAAGGACTCAAATGGTACTACTTCATAAACCACCAAACCTCAATGACAAATGATAAGATAAAAAGAAAGGAACAAAGAAAATACAAAAGAACCAAAAAACAATTGACAATATGACAGAAACAAAACCTAAAAATAACTATGAATGTAAATTGATTAAATTTTCCATTTAAAAGACATAGATTGGCAAAGGGATAAAAAACTTAATCTAACTATATGCTGCCTACTAGAAACGCACTTTACCTATAAAGACACATATAGATTGAAAGTAAAGGAATGTAAAAAGATATTCCAGGCAAATGAAAGTCAATTGCCAACAAGAATAGCTATACATATATTGATTAAACCAGACATTAAGTAAAAAACTGTAGTAAAAGACAAAAACAGATCATTATATAATTAAAAAGGGATCACTGCAGCAAGAGGATATGTAAACCTTAAATATATGTGCATCCAAAACCAGAGCACCCAGATGTATAAAGCAAATAATACTACATCTAAAGAGAGAGAGAGAGCGACTGCAATGGAATGATTGTAGGAGATTCAACGTAAGACAGATCATCTAGAAAGAAAATCAACAAAGAAAAGCAAGATTTAAATTGGAATTTAGACCAAGTGAACTTAACATTTATTTACAGAACATTTTATTCAACAACTACAGAATACATATTCTTCTCATCAGTACGTGGAAAAGTCTCTAGGATAGACCAGAATGTTAGATCACAAAACAAATTCAACATTTACTTTAAGTGAAATCATATCAAGTGTCTTTTCATACCACAATGGAATAAAATGAGATTAATACCAAGAGGCATTTTGGAAATGATACAAATACATAGAAATTCAAGAACATGTTCCTGAACAACCACTGGGTCAACAAAGAGGTTAAGATGGAAATAAAAAAGAATTGAAACAAATGAAGATGGAAACACAATATACCAAAACCTATGAGATACAAAAAAAAAAAAAAACCCTATAATAAGCAGGAAGTTTATAGCAATAAATGTCTACATCAAAAAATTATAAAGATATCAAAAAAATCTAATGATGGACTTCAATAAATTAGAAAAGCAAGAATAAACCAAAGCCAAAATTAGCAAATGAAGGAAATAATAATAATCAGAGCAGAACTAAGTAAAAGAGACTAAAAAAAAAAAGGAAAAAGGATCAATGAAATAGAAAGTTGGTTCTTCAAATAGGTAAACAAAAGTAATAAATCACTAGCTAAAGTAACCACAAAGAGAGAAGACCCAAATAAACAAAACCAGAAATGAAACATCACAACTGATGTCAAGGAGACATCAAAACTGATACCACGGAAATACAGAAGACCATCAGAGACAATTATGAACAAATATATGCTCACAAACTGGAAAACCTATAAAAAATTAATAAATTCCTGGAAATACACAATCTACCAACCTAAAATTAAGAAGAAATATAAAACCTGAACAGACCAATAATTAGTAACGACATTGAATCAGTGAGAAAAAGTATTACATCAAAGAAAAGCACAGTGACCAGCCTGGCCAACATGGTGAAAACCCCTCTCTACTAAAAATACAAAAACTACCTAGGCAGTAGTGGTGTGCACCTGTAATCCCAGCTATTTGGGAGGCTGAGGCAGGAGAATCACTTGAACCCAGGAGGTGGAGATTGTGGTGAGCCGAGATCATGCCACTGCACCCCAATCTGGGTGACAGAGTGAGACCCTGTCTCAAAAACAAACAAAAATCCACAGGACCAGATGGGCACAGCTAGATTCTACCAACTATATAATGAAAAACTAATAGCAATCCTAAAACTATTCCAAAAAATTGAAGAGGAGGGAATTCTCCCTAACTCATTCTATGAAGCCAGCATTACCCTGATAACAAAAGCAGACAAGGACACAAAAGAAAAAGAAAACTAACAATGATAGACTGGATTAAGAAAATGTGGCACATATACACCATGGAATCCTATGCAGCCATAAAAAAGGATGAGTTCATGTCCTTTGTAGGGACATGGATGAAGCTGGAAACCATCATTCTCAGCAAACTATTGCAAGGACAAGAAACCAAATACCGCATGTTCTCACTCATAGGTGGGAATTGAACAGTGAGAACACATGGACACAGGAAGAGGAACATCACACATCGGGACTGTTGTGGGGTGGGGGGAGGGGGGAGGGACAGCATTAGGAGATATACCTAATGTTAATGACGAGTTAATGGGTGCAGCACACCAACATGGCACATGTATACATATGTAACAAACCTGCACGTTGTGCACATGTACCCTAAAGCTTAAAGTATAATAAAAAGAAAAAAAAAAAAAGAAAAGTAGAGACCAATACCCCTGCTGAACAAAGATATAAAAATTGTCAACAAAATACTAATTAACCAAATTTACAGCACATCGAAAAGATGATACACCATGACAAGTGGTATTTACATCATGGTTTGTAAATGGTTTAATGTATGCAAATCAATATATGTGATACACCACATCAATAGAATGAAGGACAAAAACCAGTTGATTATATCAGTAGATGCCGAAAAACACAATTGACAAATTCCACCTCCCTTTATGAAAAAAAAGAATCTTAATCTATACATAAGAGGAACACACTTTTAAATAATAAAGGCTATATATGACAAACCTATAGTTAACATCATAATCAAGGGGGAAAAGTTGGAAGCCTTATCTCTAAGAATTGGAACAAGACAAGAATGACCACTTTTACCACTCTGATTCTACATCGTACTTGATGTCCTAGCCAGATAAATCAGGCTAGAGAAAGAAACAGAAAGCATCCAAATTGGAAAAGAGAAAGTCAAATTGCCCCTCTGCTGCTGCTATAATCTTATATTTAGAAAAACCAAAAGACTCCACCAAAAAACTCTTATAGCTGATAAGCAAATTCAGAAATGTTGAAGGATACAAAGTTAACAATAGTCAGTAATGTTTGTAAACACTAATAATGAAATAGCTATAAAATAAATCAAGAAGACACATTTACAATAGCTAAAAAAGAAATACCTAGGAATACATTTAACCAAGAAGGTGGACAATCCATACAAGGAAAACTACAAAACATTGATGTAAGAAATTGTAGAGGTAAAAAAAATAAAAACACATCCCATGCTCATGAATTGGAAGAATGAATCTCATTAAAACGATCATACTGCCCAAAGCAATATACAAATTCACTCCAATCCTTATCAAAATACCAATGTTATTTTCCACAGAAATAGAAACAAATACAATTCAAAAATATGCATGGAACCAAAAAGGAGCCTAAATAGCCAAATCAATCTTGAGCAAAAAGTACAAAACTAAAGGTATCACACTATCTGATTTCAAAATATATTACTAGGCTACAGTAACCAAAAAACAGGATTTTAATGGTAAAAATCACACAGAGCAATGGAACAAACAGAGAACCCAGAGATAAATCAATGTATTTATAGCCAATTGATTTTTGACAAATACATCAAGAACATACACTGTAGAAAAGACACCCTTTTCAATAAATGGTGATGGGAAAATTGGATGTCCATGTGCAGAAGAAAGAAACTGGGCTCCTATCTCTCACCATATACAAAAATCAGCTCAAGATTGTTTGAGAAGACTTAATGTTAAAACTCTAAACTGTAAAGCTAGTTGAAGCAAATATAGCGAAAACACTTCAAGACGTTGGTTTAGGCAAAAATTTTATGCTAAGACCTCAAAGGTATAGACGACTGACACAAAAATAGACAAATGGGATTCTGTTAAAAAGATTCTACACAGCAAAGGAAACAATCAACAGAGTAAAGAGATAACCTACAGAATGGAAGAAAATACTGCAAACTATTCATTCAACAAGGAACTAATAATATCCAGAATATACAAGGAGCTCAAAGAATGCAACAATATATAAACAAATCATCACACTAAAAAGTGGACAAGTAACCTGAATAAACAATCCTTAAAAGAAGACACACAAATGACCAACAGGTATATTAAAAAAACTTATCATTTATCATAAGAGAAATGCAAATCAAAACCACAATGAGATATCATCTTACCCGAGTTACAATGGCTATTACTAAAAATAAACAAACAAAACAAAACAGCAACAACAAAAAAAAACAGATGCTTGTGAAGGTGTGGAAAAAAGGGAACTCTTATACACTGTTGGTGGGACTGTAAATTAGTACACCTACTATAAAAAACGGAATAGAGATTTCACAAAAAACTAAAATAGAACTACCATACAATCCAGCAATGCCACTACTGGGAATTTATCCAAAGGAAAATAAGTCGGTATGTTAAAGAATACCTGCACTTGCATGATAATTGTAGCACTATTCACAAAAGCCAACATACGGAATCAACCTAAGTATCTGTCAATGGATAAATGTATAAAGAAAATGTGGTAGGTATACACAGTGGAATACTATTTAGCCATAAAAAAGAATGGAATTATTTTATTGGCAGTAACATGTATAGAACTGGAGGTCATTATGCTAAGTCAAATAAGTCAGGCACTGAAAGACAAGTACCAGAAGTTCTCATTCTTAATTTTATTTTATTTTATTTTATTTTTTTGAGACGGAGTTGTTGATAGAGAATAGAATATTATATATATATCAGAGGCTGGGAAGAGTGTAAGGATGGGAGGGGGAAATGGAGAGAGGTTGGTGAATAGGTACAAACTTACAGAGATAATAGAAGAAATTACTTCGAATGCTTTATAGCCGATTAGGGTGACTACAGTTAGCAATAATATGCTGTATAATTCGAAGTATAAGAGAGGACTTGAACACATCAAAATGATAAATACTCAAGGTGATGGATACCCTCAAATACCCTGACATCATTATTGAACAATTTGTTTATGTAAAGAAATACTCACATGTACCATATATATGTAAAATATGAAGTACCAGTAAAAAAAAAATACATAAAAAACCAATATATGCTTATATTGTAAAATTCAAAATTATGGAGTGGTATAAAATGAAAAGTCCCATTTTCATACCCTGTGCTACTCAGTTCACAGAGGCACTTTTTTTTTTTTTTTTTTGAGACAGAGTCTTGCTCTGTTGCCCAGGCTGGAGTGCAGTGGTGCGATCTGGGCTCACTGCAAACACAGAAGCATTTTTAAAGTTTATTTTCCTAGAATACTACATAATTTTATTTCGATTTAATTTTTAATTGTTTTTCCTATTGGGTATTCTAAAGTGCGTCATATTCTTTACACATTTTGATTGTTACGTGAGTATGTGTAAAAGTGGACCAAGAACCCGAATAGACAATTCTCCAAAAACACATTCAAATGACCAGCAGGTATATGAAAAAATTCTTATCATTAATCATTAGAGAAATGCAAATTGAAACTACAATGAGATATCATCTTACCTGAGTTAGAATGACTATGATAAAAAGATAAAAAATATGTGTGTATATGTATATATAAACATGGTGTACACAATATATATATATTCACTGTATATATATTCACTGTATATATATATATACACACACACATTCTGCTTATTCATTTAAAAATACCACTGAATTATCATTTGCAAGAATTTTTCAGTTGATTTTCTTTGGGTTTCCACATAATCATTTAATTTGTAAAAAATGATCATTTACATATCTCTTTTTAATTTTCATAATTTATGTATTTTTCTCTAATTTTGTTCACTGATGTTTCATCACCATTGGCTATAAAGGACATGCTGGCTATCCTGACTCTAATACTTTAATGGAGATGCTTCTGGTATATTTCACTAAGCATGATGCCGTAATTAATATACAACTCTATTTGTGTTTAAGAAGATAGGAATCTTCACAGGTAGATAGGTAGATAGGTGATAAACAGACAGATTATTTTATGTAGACAATATACTAAGACACCATAGCCCAGACTAATTGCTCCTCAGGAGTGACCTCTTAGGAACTATTTAGGCCCCTAAGCTGGGGCTCACAGTTCTCCAGCGTAGAGAGAGGGTTATGTTCAGCGTCTTGTTGAGGAGGTGCAGACAGCAGCCTAAGGCTAATCAGCCAGGTAGCTTCCATAAAGCCTACACTCTGGAAGAGGATGCAGACAAGGAAAGCCAGAGACCAGGGCTTATGCACCATACTCCCTGTGGTGACCAATAATAATATCATTATTTATAATTATTTCTTTATTAGCATATATATTAACAAAGCAGTATCTTAAGAGTCATTTTTAATTTCCTCTTGTTTTATTTCAATTTGCCTATTTTATTTTGTTTTAATTTTACTTTTTTTTTACTAAGTTAGCTAATGGTTTATCATGCTCACATTTTTTCCCCAAAAGATCAGCTGTTGAATTTTATATTTTTATGTTTTCATATTCATCAATATTGGTGAAGCAGCACTTGTTTACATTTTTGTGGTATATAGGTCCCTTGGTGAATGTAATTAAAAACGATGGTCCTTTCTTTAGGAAAATCTACATGCTCACACATGCTTAAAATGTTGCACACAGTTTTCAGGGACTTTATTTTCCAGTCTGACATACATTCATAGATCTTAAATTGAGAAGCTCTATTCCCAAATATTGTCAAAGAGTTTATCTATTGAGTTTGCATGATAAAGTTTAGCTCAGTTCACAGTCATTGCACATTTTAGAATCAGGGACAATATTAACAGTTTCAGGATTCTACTACTGCTCGAAGTACCACTACAACAACTACTACTACTGATACTACTTCTGCCACTACTATTTTAAAAGATTTCAGTTATATGCCAGGCAATATGATGAGCTCTTTTACTTATTAACTATGGCATAAACTCTAGGAAGAGAGTACTAGAGAGACAGTAATTGTCACCACTTTACAGATAATAAAAGTAAGACACAGAGAGGTACAGAAATTAGCCTCGAACTATACAGCTAGCAATCATTACAGCCAGGATGCAAACACTGGGAAGTCTAGTGCTAAAGGTGAGCGGTGTATATCTGAAGAAAAGTCATAATAAGCTCCATTATTAATAGCCTCCTTATTGCTGCTCCATTTTTTATTTCCTTTACTTTAGTGCAGGAGATTTTGCATCCCACCAGACATTTGGCAATGCCTGGAGATACATTAAGTTGTCATAGATGCAGGGGCAGTGCTACTGGTATCTAGAGGATAGAGGCCAGGAGTGCTGCTAAATGTCTTACAATGCACCGAAGAGCTCCTGACAACAAGAAATCTTCCAGTCCAAATATTCATAGTACATTGAGAGAGCAGTTGTGAAACTACTTTAGAGAAACTGGCATGGAAATTTCAGAGTACCGTATTTGGCAGCAATAAGGCAAAATAAAAACAAGATTTGAGGAAACATCTTTAAATTATATTTGTTATGGGCTAAATTGCCCCTCTCCTGCAATTCATCTGTTTTAGTCTGAACCCCCAGTATTTCAGAATGTGACTGTATTTAGCAATACGGCCTTTAAAGATGTGATTAAGTTAAAATGAAGCCATTGTGGGGTGCCTGTTTCAATCTGACTGGCTTCCTGATAAGAAGAAATTTGGGTACACAGAAAAACAACAGGCATGCAAGTGCCTAAAGGGAAGATCCTGGGAAGAGGAAGCAAGATTATGAGCATTTGCAAGCCAAGGAGACAGACCTGGAACAGATTCTTCCCTTATGGCACTTAGAGGAAACTAACGCTGCTGGAACTCTGATCTTGGACTTCCAGCCTCCAGAACTGTGAGAAAAATAAATTTTTGATTATTTAAGCCATTTAGTCTATGGTCTTTTGTTGTGGCAGCCCTATCAAACTAATACATCACTTAAGGTTATAAATAATTTTCAAGAACCTTTAGCACTCTTAAAGTATTCTTTTACATAATCCGTCGCTTTGCTAATTAAAAATGATTCACCTCTTTGGTAAACCTTGTGTTTAATTGCATTTACTATGCAGCATTTTGTTAGCTTAATTTTCATTTTGTAGCAAAATCCACTTTAGCTTCCCATATCAGGCTGCCAGGGATTTAAAAAGTCTTTGAAACCTATATCCAAGTACACTGCCTCAATGAAACTGCTATGTGGACTGGTGGAGTTGGGGCTGGGTATTTTCTCCATATGCAAAATATCCTTTGGTATTTGGATACATTTTCAAAGCTGTTGTCCTTCAAGTTTTGACAAATCACCTCAAAAGTTAAACTGGTCAATTAAAACGTCCTCAAAATGCAAACTGTTAACTTTGCTAATATTTAATGTGAAGCATCCTAAGCAATGCATTTTCAAAACATTTTCACAAATATTACCTAGAAACTGATTATAAAAATCAACATGACTTTATTCTAACTATTTGAAAACCAATGGATAAATGAATATACAGTTCAAGCTAGAGGACAGCCTAGATTTTAGCTTCATCCCATTTCTTTCTGTCAGACTTTTTTTTTTCAAAATTTCCTTGAGGATTTTGTCATGTTTGGAGAGCAAAAGTGGACATCCCACAGAAGCACTTATCCTTCTTTTAAACGTAGTAGCATCCTTTGCTTGGCTGATGAAACAAGCAAATTTCATACTCTTTCTTTTTGTCACTCTTGCTCTCATACTCTCTTCCAAGGACTGTTCTTGAAACCTTTCCCCTTTCCCCATGCCAACTCGACAATACTACATCTATTGTTTGTCACTTATTTATTCTACCTGCTTTCTGTTGAGAATGAATCTTTTGGATATTTTACAGTGAATGGAATGGTTTTCACCCAGTCATGAGACTAGGAAACAGTCCAAATAACAGTCTTTGTGTCATTCTTCTAAAATCTCCCTTCTGGCTAATAAAAGCTTAGGAATTAGGATGGGCATCTTGTAGATGGCCTATGTTATATTATCCTTATTACATTTTGACTCTTAAACTTGCCTCTGAGGCTTTCCATCAGTACCCATGGATGAATATTCATGTTACTAGAAAAATTAGTACATTGCTCAGTGAATCTATTGCTGTTAATATAACTGCTATAGCTCCTATGCTCTTTCCAAGGAAAAGGAATTGTGCCTTATTTATTTGTTTTTGTTTTGTTTTGTGTTTTGGCTAGTTATTTCTTTCATTATCTACCTGCTTCCCAAGTTGTATGCCTATATCAAAGCAAACTTTGAGTTTTTTTTTTTTTTTACTATTTTTTTCTCAGCAAGCTGTTGTCTTCTGCTAGAAGTTTCCTTTGATTTCAAGGACACTTTTTTGTTGCTTACAATGACTAGGGCAGGAGGTGCTATGGGCATTAGAATGAAGGGTCAAGGGATGCTAAACATCTTGCAATTTGCAGAGAAGTTCCAGACAAAGAAACATTTTTCCTGTCCCAAAGGGTAATAGCACACCTGTTGAAAAACACAGATAGCAATACTCTGGGTGTTACATTCTAGGTCAAGAATTTAGAGTCAGAAGTGTTGGTTGCCTGAAAGATAAAACATTTCTTGACAAGATACTTTTGTTATTTTATACATCTGAAACCTTAGTTTTACACCTGAGGCTCTGAGAGTAGGATGCATTATGTGCTGATGATGACATCTGGAGAATGACATTGGAAGTTGCTTCAATGCAGTGACGTTGTTGGAAGTTTATGTTGAGGAATATATCTCCCGCGAAATGCAAGTCTAAGCTGAGAGAGCAAGCATCAGTCACCATTTCTTCAGCAAACATTTCCTGGGCATCTTTTGTATTCCATGCTATGCTAAGGTGCTCTGGAGCAGGAGATAAATTATATGGGATGCTTGTCTCCGAGGAGCTATGTTCTATTGAGTAACTGGCTTTAAAAAATTATGCCTCCTACCAATGGTTGACCTTATCAATGACTCTGAGTCTTTGGGATTCTTTGGATTTATGTATTAACTGCTCAAGGGATGACTTGAGGGTCCTCTCCTCCTGCTATGTGCATGGTAATTAGGGCCTGGAGAAATGAAGTTCCTGTTTTAAGGATTTAAATAATTTAAATGCCCTCATTGACTGAAGAAATAGATTCTGTGATTTAAGACAGGCAAATTAAGGGCCAAAGGAGCTCAAAGAAAGGTTTTGTTGATTTGTTTCCGGTTTTTGTGTGTGTTTTTCTGTTTGAATTAATATATTAGTAATGAGTGTTTTGCAAATAGTGCATTTAATAGGATAGATCCCTGGAAGACCTTGGATGAAAAGTTTTATGGATCTCTAAGACTCTAGAAAAAGGAAGATGTAAAAGGTTTAAAGATACTAGAGATGAGTGGGAAGGTTGAGATGCAGGGAGCATACAATAAAATAGAAACTAGCATCAAACTGGTTCTTCCATAAAATTTTTGTGACCTTGCTCATTTTTCATTCTCCCAGTTCAACTGTCAAAATCTGGAACCCAAAATTATTTATCAAATTCCCTTTGTCTGACACCAAAACCCATTCAGGTAATCACTTACCCCACAAACAATGTAATGAAATTCAGGATCACAGAAAGAAATTACAGGCTCAGTAACCACTAATAATCAATATCTCTTTTTCTTTTATATATTCAGTCTCTCCCTCTTAATTGGACCTTACCTTTTGTCATTTAAATACATTCAAGTAGCACCCTGTTAGTTATTTTCAATTTATATGGAAGATAGTGGACACAGTTTACATATATTATTATATATATAATATATATAAAAATATCTTCCTTATGTATGTAATATATATATCTTCCATATATATGTAAAACTAACCATTACACTCATATATGAGGAATATATATAATTATATATAATATATATAATCGTCCATATATTATATTATATATATTATGTATGTACTTCTTCCATATATATATTATATATATACATCTTCCATATATATGTATATATATCCCTGTTACATGTTCTTACACCATTTACTTTCCCTTCACACATTTTTACCTCAGTGATAATTTAAGTGGTTATGTGAGTAAAAATTTTCAATCCAAGATACCCTAAACCATGTGACATCAAATACCATCTTAAGATTTGCTCAATACTGTAACTTTAAGGCCTAGCCTAGTTCTAAGTACATGGGAGATATTCAGTACATATTTGAGTGAATAAGCTTTAGGTTGGTGCAAAAGTAATTGCGGTTTTTGTCATTACTTTCAATGGCAAAAACCTCAGTTACTTTTGCAGCAACCTAGTATATCCACATTGTACCCTAGCCTATTACACCAGTAATGAAATTAGAGTGAGACGGTCTGGAGTTCTGCTTCTTGTCCAAAGTATCCCATATTCACATATTCTATTTATCAACTCCTTGTCGATATCATGAACAAAATATCAAAATGATATCATGTTGATATAATCTTTATACATTTTTCCCCTTCCTGATCAGCCAACTTCCCTAAAGCAGTTACACTAAGGGAACTTCTAGCCAATAGAATTATCTTTGTTGAAAGTCGGGAATTAGAAAACCTATATGCACTGAGAGTTAAAAAAAAATAGAGAAAAAGGTAATTAGGTGAAGTAGAGAATTCAAACAAACAAACAAACAACAACAACAAAAAAAAAAAAAAAGGAAAAAGGAGTAATTCGGTTTTGACCAATCCCTGGCATTCATCTGACAAGTGACTCTGCCCCCCAACCTTTTCTTTTCCAGATTGAGGTGAAATAGAAAATAATTTGTGATGCAGTAGAGCTGAGTTAGCAAATTATGTTTCCTGGGTCCAATTTAGTTCACTGCCTGTTTTTGTATAACTTATAAACTAAAAATTAAAAAAAAATTAATGAAGGTTTGAAAATTGTCAAAAAATCATATTTTGTGACATTGAGTAATTTTATGAAATTCAGATATCAGTATCCATAACATTTTATTATAAAACAACCACACTCATTCATTTCTGTATTGTCTATCGCTGCTGCTCTTCGTGCCGAAAAAGGGAGAACTGAGCAGTTGCAACGGAGACCATATGGCTCACAAAGTTGAAAATATTTACTATTTGGTCCTTTACCAAAAAAAAAAAAAAAGTTTGCTGACAACTGCAAAATCCTAAACTACTCATTTATTCCAGAATAAATTTTTGCAAAATAATTTGGCTGGAGTATAACACATACTCATGCTCAATATTATGTATAGAAGTGTATTTTAAGGCTAAGTTAGTTACTTTTGGATCATTTATTATTTAGGATTGTCCATGGAATAAACTTCCTTTTTTATTTTTATTTTTTGAGATGGGGTCTCACTCTGTCACCCAGGCTGAAGTGTAGTTGTGCAATCTTGGCTCACTGCAACCTCTGCTTCTTGAGCTCAAGTGATCCTTCTACCTCAGCCTCCTGTGTAGCTGAGACCACAGTCACATGCCAGCACACCTGGCCAATTTTTGTGTGTATATATATATATACACACACACACACACACACACATATATTTATATATATATACACACACATATATGTATATATGTATGTATATTATATATAATATATATATATAAATATATATTATATATTTTTTTTGTAAAGACAGAGTTTCTGGTCTCAAACTCCTGACCCCAAGCAATCCACCCATCTTGGCCTCCAAAACTGTAATCTGCCCTTTGAGGAAGCACAGATAATCAAGACATGATGGAATATTTTATGACATGAAGCACATCTAAACCCATAGCCCACTTGGTTATTATTATGTTTATGATTATGTTTAATTTTAGTTTGGAATCTGCCACTAACAGGAGCTATAGTGGAGAACATATAGTGTTCGCCGCACCTGATCTAGATTCCAAGAAACCTTGCTTTGAATTTTAGGCCTTGCCATTTACTAGTTGCATGTCCATGGGCAGTTTATGCCACATAATGAAGGTTGTATCATCATCTTAAAATTGCAGTGTTAACTATAACAGCATCATACTTTTGCAGGGTTAAATAGGAAAATGCATGGGAATAACTTGGCACACAGCCTGAAACATTGCAAAAGCTTGTTATGAGCTGTTTCACCTTGAGCAAGCCACTTAATGAGTTTTTCATCTTATATGTGAAGGGGTTGAGCTGAAGAAAGCCTCACCTGCAACCTCAGCTTTTCTGTTGTTAAAGCTGGGTGTCGAAATGAATGTCGAAATTGGTTACACATGGATTGCTAAAAAGAAAATATGGTCCTAGATCTCTTCATCAAGACAGCAAACTGACCAGCTTTTTCAGACACTGCTGAAGACATGAAACATTATACTGAGCAAGCAGCAAAACACACTTATTATTATTATTTTCAAGTGAAAATCCAAGTTATATTTTCATTAAGCATTAGACTAGTGAACATCTTCAAGCACACCTTTTCAATGTATGATAAAAGGCCAGTTTTTGGTCAGCTGCTGTATCTTAAGGTGAGGCATCAGGGAACAGTACTGCGGTTCTGTCTTCTGTTACACTGATGTGGTTCCACATTGAAATAACAATCTTCCTGGGAGTAAGAGTTGGAAGGATTTGCAGAAACATGTCTATTTTTGGTAGGAGAAGGCGCTCAGAGACAAGCAGTATACTACCATTTTATCTATTTGTCATACTTGAGAACTTCATTCCATTTTTCTGTAGGTTACCAATAAGGTACTCAAAAATACACAGTGATTAAATTAATGGTGGTGGATCACTGTCATTGCCAGACTTCTCTATAGCATAGAAGGACATTTTCCAAGGGATTGTTCCTGGAATTGGCTATTTTTTCTGCAGTTTTGTGGAGGGCAGCAGGAGCAAGCCATGGAAAGCTACTCCTCTTAGAAATTCCTGCTGATGTAGGCTAATGACGTGGCCTGTGGAGAAATGTAACACTCATGTTGCATGGCTTGGTTTGTCATATCTTGCAGCATATACACAATTATCTAAGGTTGGTGATACTTTTTCATGAGAATCTAACTGTAGTTTAGTCACTTAGCAAATGTGGGTCATTCCTTTATTTCCATTAAGGTTTCAGATAGAATAAACCCTTCAACCACACTCATCTGGCAAATCAGAGAGATCTGATTCAAGACACTGTTGAGTTCTTGTACATAATCCATTGTGTTATATTAATTTAGAGCACCTAGTGTGATAGCCATGATGTAAATATTTTAAAGAACTTGATGGTGTGGAATAGGCACTTTATGAGGTACAACAGAGTTGCCACTGGTTCATTTTTCTTTTTTGAGTCTGTTCCCCTGTCATAGTATATGCCAACATGAATAAAAACAAGTCTAATGTAGTATTTTGATGAAAAGGGAGATATTTCTTTGTATGAGATGCATACCTCAGTCTTTGCCAAAGAAGGAGATATGAGAAGTTGACTTGCTTGAGTAGTCTGGCTACCCATTCCCTATCTGTATCCTAAAATATAAATTTTTTTTAGTCTAGTCCAGTCTCTGTTTTATTTTATTAGGTTTGTTTTGTCTCCTGCCTCCTCTCATTGTTGAAGCTTCTACACCAAACTCTTTCGAGATTTACTACTGATACCCTTGTAAATTTGTATTTTAGAGATGATATGATGCTTGTTTTCATGGCTATTTAAATTTCAGGTAAGCATTATTCAATCTCAAAAATTTTTGCATATTAACAGGGCAAAAGGGCTTGGCTCAAAAATAAGAAAAGATACTCATTTGCAATATTATGGCCATTTAAAAATCCCTCTCTCCAAATATATATATATGTATATATATGTATACACACACATATATATGTATATATATATATTTATGTATGTGTGTGTATACATATATATACACTTTTTTAGTTTAAAGTTGTGTGTATGCATATATTGTGGGAACTTAGATGTTCATTTGTGTTGGGTTTCTTCCAAGTGCCTCTACAAGGGGGTGATATCTGCTAGTGCTGCTTATATTTAAATCCATCCCATCTGGTCTGTGTCTCCTAGACTGTGCTGAACAAATCATGGTACATACAGTGATAATCTAATAACATTTTTGTGAACTGCAGAAGAATAACTATCAAGAAATATAAATAGGGCAGGAGGCAGAGCAAGATGGCTGAATAGAACTTTCTAGTGATCATCCCCACTGCTGCCCAACAGGAACACCAAATTCAACAAATATCCACATAAAAAAGCACTTTCATAATAACCAAAAATCATGTGAGTGATCACATTACCTGGTTCTAACATTATATTAAGGAAAAAGGCACTGAAAAGAGTAGAAAAGACAATCTTGAATTGTCAACACCACCCCTTCCCCACACTGTAGCAGTGTCTGTGTGGCACAGAGAATTCTGTGTGCTTAGGTAAGGGAAAGCACAGTGATTGTGGGACTTTGTATCGGAATTCAGTGCTGCTCTGTCACAGTGAAAAGCAAAATAGGATAGAATTGAGCCAGAGCTCAAGGGGGGAGCATTTAGACCATCCCTAGCCAGAGACAAGTTGTCCATTTCAGTAGTCAGAACCTAAGTTCCAGCTAGCCCAACCACCATGGGCTAAAGCATTTTGGAGTTCTAAATAAACAAGAAAGGCAGTCTATGCCACAGGGCTGCAATTCCTAGGCAAGTCTTGGCTCTGTACTGGGCTCAGAGCCAGTGGAATTGCAGTGCATACAACCTAGTGAGACACAAGCTGGGGTAGGAAAGGGAATGTTTGTGTCACCCATCTTCCAACCCCAGGTATTGCAGCTTGCACTTTGGGGAGAGACTCTTTCCTTCCATTTGAGGAGAGGAGAAGGAAGAGTGGGGAGGACTTTGTCTTGCAACTTGAATACCTGCTCAACTACAGTAGAATAAGGCACTGCGCTGAGTCCTGAGGATATCATTCCAGGCCCTAGCTCCTGAATAACATTTCTAGACAAACTGTGGGACAGAAGGAAACCTGTTGCCTTGAAGGGAAGGGCCCAACCCAGTCCTGGGATGATTCATTTTCTGTTGACTAAGGAGCCCTTGGTCCTTGAATTAACATCATCTGTAGCCAGGCAGTACTTGCTGTAGGTCTAGGGTAGTGGTGTCCACAGGGAAAGATTCCTTCTTGAGTACAGAAGAGGAAAGAGTGGGAAGGACTTTGTCTTGCAGCTTGTGTGCCAGCTCAGCCACAGTAGATAGAACACTAAGTAGATTACCAATGTTCCTGACTCCAGGCTCTGGCTCCCAGACAGCATTTTGGGATCCACCTTTGGCTGGGGAGAGAGCTTACCGCCTTGAAGTTAAGGAGATAAGCCTGGCTGTATTCTCCACTTACTGACTGTAGAGCCCTTGGGCCTTGAGTAAACACTGGTGGTAGCTAGGCATTGGTCACTGCAGGTCTTGGGTGAGACCCAGTGCAGTCCCAGTGGTGGTGGCCACAGGGGTGCTTGTGACACTACTCCCTACTCCAGGCAGCTCAAGGAGAGAGAAATTCCATTTTTAGGGGGGGAACATATGGGAAGAGAACAAGAATTTCTGCCTAGTAATCCAGGAAATTCTCTTGGATTTTACCCAAGATCACCAAGGCAGTACGTCTACAAGTCTTTAAGACTTACAGCATTACTGGTCTTGGGGTAACCCCTAATGCAGGTATGGCTGCAGTGACCATAGCCTTAGGTCACAACACTCAATTCCATTTGAATTATTGGAAAGCCTTCCCACGAAGGATAGGTACAAACTATTAATATATTAAATATCCAACTCTTCAGTGCTCAGATACTGACAAACATTCACCAGCAGCAAGACCATCCAGGAAAACACGACTTCGCCAAACAAACAAAAAAGGGACCAGTGACCAGCTGCAAAGTGATATGGTTTAGTTCTGTATCCCCACCCAAATCTCATATCAAGTTGTAATTTCCAGTGTTGGAGGTGGGGCTTGGTGGGAAGTGATTAGATCATGGGGGGAAGATTTCACCATTGGTGCCACTCTTGTAATTGTGAGTTATCACAAGTTGTGATTGTTCAAAAGTGTGTAATACCTCTCCCCTCTCTCTTTCTTCTTCTCCAGCCATGTAAGATGTGCCTGCTTACCTTCCACCTTCTCCCATAATTGTAAGTTTCCCTAGGCCTCTCCAGCTATGCTTTCTATAGAGCCTGAAGAACCATAAGCCAATTAAACCCCTTTTCTTTATAAATTATGCAGTTCAAATATTTCTTTATAGCAGTGTGAGAATGAATTGATACATGAAGTGACAGAGATGTGTTACCTTTCAGGCAGATAATTCAAAATAGCTGTTTTAAAGGAGCATAATGAAATCCAACATAACACAGAGAAGGAATTCATAACCATATCAGATAAATTTAACAAAGTGATTAGAAAAATTTTTAAAAATCAAGCTAAAATTCTACAGCTGAAAAATGCAATGTATATACTAAAGATATATCAGAGTCTCTTAACAGCAGAATTGATCAAGCAGAAGAAAGAACTGCTGATCTTGAATACAAGCCACTTGAAAATATGCAGTCAGAGAAGAAAAAAAAAATTAAATAAAAAGGAATGAAACACACTGATAAGATGTAGAAAATAGTCTGAAAAAAGCAAATCTAAGAGTCATTGGCCTTAAGGAGGAGGTGGAGAGATGGGGTTAGAAAGTTTATTCAAAGGGATAATAACAAAAAAATTCCCAAACCTATAGAAGGATATCAATATTCACATACAAGAATATTATAGAACACCAAACAGATTTAGCCCAAATAACACTACCTCAAATCATTTAATAATCAAACTCCCAAAGGTCAAAAATAAAGAAAAGATCCTAAAAGCAGCAAGAAAAAAAAAAAAACATACAAAGGAGCTCCAATAGATCTGACAGCAGACTTCTCAGTGGAAACCTCATAGGCCAGGAGAGAGAAAGTTTGAAATATTTGAAGTGTTAAGGAAAATGAAAACAAATTTTATCCCAGAATAGTATATCCAGCAAAAATAACTTTCAAACATGAGAGGGAAATGAAGACTTTCCCAGACAAATAAAACTTTAGGGATTTCATTAATACCAGAACTGTCCTACAAGAAATGCTAAAGGGAGTTCTTCAGTCTGTTAAAAAAAAAAAAAAAAAAAAAAAAAAGAAGATAACACGCAATAGACAATCATCTAAAGGTACAAAACTCACTGGTAATAGAAAGTACATAGACAAATACAGAATACTATAACACTGTAATTGTGGTGTATAACCTACTTATGTCTTGATTATAAGAAGAAAAAGAAGAACTGATGAAAAAAATAACTATACAACTTTTTAAGACTCAGACTATATAAAAAGATATACATAGAAACAATAAAAACTTGAAAAGTTATGGTGATAAAGTTAAAATGTAGAGTATGTATTAGATTTCTCTTTGACACATGTATTATTTTGTTTGCCTGCTTTTACAATTAGTGTTGAGTGGTCATCATTTTTTTAATTAAAGGCTTTAAGATATTTTCTGCAAACCTCATGGTAAATTCAAATAAAAAACCTACAAGAGATACACAAAAAATAAAACAAGCAAGAAAGTAACACATATGACCAGAGAAAATTATCTTCAAAGGAAAGGAAGGGAAGGGAGGGAAGGGGAGGGAAGGAGAAGGGGGGAGGAAAAGAGGAAAGGAGGGAGGGAAGGAGGAGCCAGAAAACAACCAGAAACACAAAGTGGCAGTGGTAAGTCCTTACTTACCAATTATAGCATTGAATGTAAATGGACTAAACTCTCCAATCAAAAGACACAGAGTGGCTGGATGGAGAAAAAAAAAAGAAAACAAGAATCTATAATCTGTTTCCTACCGAAAGCATACTTCACCTATAAAAACACACATAGACAGAAAATAAATAAATAAAATAAAAAATATTTTATGCAAATGGAAGCCCCAAAAATAGCAGGAGTAGCTATATTTAACAAAATAGATTTCAAGATTAAAAACTATAAAAAAGACAAAGGAGGTAATTATGTAATAACAAAGGTGTCAATTCAGCAAAATAGTATAACAATTTTAAATGTATATGCCTCCAACAATGGATCACCCAGATATATAAAGCAAATATTGTTAGAGCTAAAGATAGATAAATACAAATACAATAATAGCTGGAAACATTGACACCCCCCTTTCAGCATTTGACAGATCATTCAGACAGAAAGCCAATAAAGAAACCTCAGACATAATCTGCACTATAGACCAAATGAAACTAAAAGATATTTACAGAAGGTTTTATTCATTAGCTGAGGAATATACATACTTTTCATCATCACATAGATCAGTTTCAAGGAAAGACCACATCTTCAGCCATAAAACAAGTCTTAGGAAATTCAGAAAAAAATGAAATCATATCAAGTATCTTCTCTGACCACAATAAAATAAAACTAGAAATAATATGACAAACTTTAAAAAGTATACAAACACACAGAAAGTAAACCATATGCTCCTAAATGACCAATAAGTCAATGAATAAATTAAGAAGAAAATGGAAAAATTTATTGAAACAATAAAAATGAAAATGCAACATACCAAAATCCATGTGATTCAATGCATTTATTACCATGAGAAAAGTTTATAGCAATAAGTGCCTACATCAACAAGGTAGTAAAACTTCCAATAAACAACTTAATAATGCTTTTTAAATAATTAAAAATACAGGAGCAAACCAAACCCAAACCATTTCTTCTTGTAGAAAAAAAAGAAATAAAATGATAAGAGCAGAAGCAAAATTGAAAGGGGAAAAGCAATACAAAATATAAACAAAATAAAAAGTTTTTTAATGGAAAGATAAACAGAATTGACAAACCTTTAGCCAGACTGATAAATAAAGAGGGACGATCTAAATAAATAAAACAGAAATAAAGGAGACATTACAAATGATACTGAAGAAATTCAAAGGATCATCAGAGAATGGTATGTGAAACTGTACACTCATAAATTGAAAAGCCTAGAAAAAATGGATAATTTCCTGGACCCATACAACCTACCAAGAGAACCACAAAGAAATCTAGAACCTGCATAGACCAATAACAATTAATGTGATTAAAGATATAATAACAAGCCTCCTGGCCAAGAAAAACTTGGGACCTGGTGGTTTCACTGATGAATTTTACCAAACACTTAAAGAAAAACTAATACCAATCCTACTCAAACTATTCTAAATGATAGAGGAGCAGGAACACCTACAAACTCATTCCAAACTTCTACCCCACCCAAATTCATTCTACATGACCATTATTACACTGATACCAAAGTCAGAAAAGGAGACACCACAAAAAGAAACAGGCCAATATCCTTTGTGAACACTGATGCAAAAATCCTCAATAAAACACTGACAAACCAAATTCAACAACATATTGAAAGGATCATTCACTATGACCAAGTGGGATTTATCTCAGGGATGCAAGGATGATTCATCATATGCAAATCAATCAGTGTGATACATTGTATTAACAGAAAGAAGGAAAAAAACATATGATCATTTCAACTGATGCTAAAAAATCAGTTGGTAAAATTCAACATGCCTTCATGATAAAAACCTTTAAAAGACTGGAAATGGAACATACTTGAACACAATAAAAGCCACATATGACAGACCCACAGCTAGTATCATACTGAATGGAGAAAATACTAAAAGTCTTTCCTCTAAGATCTGGAACATGAAAAGGATGCCCACTTTCACCACTGTAATTCACATAGTACTATTAGTCCCAGCTAGTGTTATCAGAAAATATTAAAAATTAAGGGCATCCAAACTGGAAAGGAAGAAGTCAAATTATCGTTGTTTGTGAATAATTTGATAATACACAGAAAAACCAAAAGATTTCATGAAAAAAACTATTATAACTGATAAATAATTCAGTGAAGTTGCAGGATACAAAATCAACATACAAAGTGAGTAAAACTTTATTTGTCAACAGATAACAATCTGAAAAAGAAATCAAGAAAGTATTCTCATTTACAATAGCTACAAATAAAATCAAATGCTTAAAAATAAACTGATGCAAAGAAATGAAAAATCTGTACAATGGAAACTATAAAACATTTATGCAAGAAATTGAAAAAGACACCAAAAAGTGGTAAGATACTCCACATTCATGGTTTGGAAGAATAAATATTGTTAAAATGTGCATGGTACCCAAAGCAATTTCCAGATTCAATGCAATCTCTACCAAAACACCAATGAAATTCTTCAGAGAAATAGAAAAAAAGAATCCTAAATGTATATGGACCCACAAAAGACCTATAATAGCAAACATCATCCTAAGCAAAAGGAACAAAACTGGAGGAATCACATCACCTTATCAAAAATTATATTACAGAGCTATTGTAACCAAAGCAGTATGTTACCTGCATAAAAACAGATACATAGACCAATTGAACAGAATAAAGATCACAGAAGTAAATCCATACATCTACCATGAACTCATTTTTGACAAAGATGTCAAGAACATACACTGGGGAAAGAACAGTCTCTTCAGTAAATGGTGCTAGAAATACTGATATCCATATGCAGTAGAACAAAACTAGACTTCTATCTCTTGCCATATACAAAAATCAAACCAACATGGATTAAAGACTTAAATCTAAGATCTCAAACTATGAAACTACTCAAGTAAAACCCTGAGAAAACTCTCTAGGACATTGGTGTGGGCAAATATTTCTTGAGTAATATACCCCAAAAGCCTTATATCCCCAACCAGAGAAAATATCCCCAACCAGAGCAAAAATGAACAAATAGTATCATATCAAGTTAAAAAAAATTCCGCACATCAAAGGAAACAATAATCAAAGTGAAGAAGAAACACACAGAATGACAGAAAGCATTTGCAAACTATCAACATTAGTCTGTTCTCATGCTGCTATAAAGAACTGCCCGAGACTGGGTAACTGATAAAGGAAAAAGGTTTAATTGACTTGCAGTTTCACATGTTTAGGGAGGTCTCAGGAAACTTACAATCATGGTGGAAAGGGAAGCAAACACATGCTTTTTCATATGGTGGCAGGAGATAGGAGTGCAGAGTGAAGGCAGAGAAGCCCCTTATAAAACCATCAGATCTTGTGAGAACTCACTATTGTAATAACAGCATGGGGGAACTGCCCCTATGATAGAATCACCACCCACAAGGTCTCTTCCCCAACACATGGGGATTGCAATTCCGATTACAATTCAAGATGAGATTTTGATGGGGATGCAGAGCCAGACCATATCATTCTGTCCCTGGTCCCTCCCAAACCTCATGTTTCTCACATTTCAAAACACAATTATACCTTCCCAACAGTTCCTCAACTTCTTAACTCACTTCAGTATTAACCCCAAATTCCAAGTCCATAGTCTCATCTGAGACAAGACATTTCCTTCTGCCTATGAGCCTGTAAAATCAAAAGGAAATTAGTTAATTTCAAGATATAATGAGGGTATAGGTACTGGATCAATGCACCCATTCCAAATTGGAGAAATTGGAGAAAATAAAGGGGCTACAGGCCCCATGCAAGTCCAAAATCTAGCGAGGTGGTCATTCAATCTTAAAGTTCCAAACTGACCTCCTTTGACTCACATCCAGGTCACACTGATGGAAGAGGTGGGCTCCCATGGCCTTGGGCAGCTCCACTCCTGTGGCTTTGCAGGTTACAACCCCCCCTCCCAGCTGTTTTCATGCACTGGCATTGAGTACCTGTGGCTTTTCTAGGCACTCACTGGAAGCTGTCAGTGGATCTACCGTTCTAGGATCTGGAGAATGGTAGCTTTCTTCTTACAGATTCACTATGCTATTCCTTAGTGGGGACTCAGTGTGGGGACTCTGAACTCACCTTTCCCTTCTGCACTGCCTTAGCAGAGTTTCTCCATGAAGGCCTTGCTCCTGCAGCAAACTACTGCCTGGACATCCAGGCATTTCTATACATCTTCTGAAATCTAGACAGAAGTTCCCAAACCTCAATCCTTGTCTTCTGTGCACCCACAGGACAAACACCACGTGGAAGCTACCAAGGCTTGGGGCTTGCACCCTGTGAAGCAATGGCCCAAGCTGTACTTTGGCCCATTTTAGCCATGGCTGGAACTGAAGCAGCTGGGATACAGGGCACCATGTCCTAGGTCTGCACAGAACAGCAGAGGCCTGGGCCCAGCCCAGGAAACCATTTTTCCCTCCTAGGGCTCTGGGCCTATGATGGGAGGGGCTGCTGTGAAGGTCTCTCACATGCCTTGGGAAAATTTTCCCCATTGTTTCAGTGATTAACATTCGGCTCCTCATGCAAATTTCTGCAGCTGGCTTGAATTTCTCCCCAGAAAATGGGTTTTTGTTGTTTTATCATATTATCAGGCTGCAAATTTTCCAAACTTTTTTGCTTTGCTTCCTGTTGAATGCTTTGCTGCTTAGAAATTTTTTCCACCAGGTACCCAAAATTATCTCTCTCAAGTTCCATAGGTCTCTAGGGCAGGGGCAAAATGCTGCCAATCTCTTTGCTAAAGCATAGCAATAGTCATCTTTGCTCCAATTCCCAAAAAGTTACTCATCTCCCTCTGAGACCACCTCAACACAGACTACATTGTTCATAACACTGTCAGCATTTTAGTCAAAGCCATTCAACAAGTCTCTAGGAAGTTCCAAACTTTCTCACATCTTTCTGTCTTCTGAGCCCTCTAAGTCCAAAGGGAGTTCCAAACTTTCCCACATTTTTCTATCTTCTTCTGAGCCCACCAAACTGTTCCATCCTCTTACTGTTACCTAGTTCCAAAGTCGCTTCCACATGTTCAGGTATCTTTATAGCAGCAACCCACTTCTTGTACCGATTTACTGTATTAGTCCGTTCTCACACTGCTATAAAGAACTGCCCAAGACCGGGTAATTTATAGAAGGAAGAGGCTTAATTAACTCACCTTTCTGCATGACTAGGGAGGCCTCAGGAAACTTACAATCATGATGGAAGGGGAAGCAAACACATCCTTTTCACATGGTGGGAGGAGAGAGAAGTGCAGAGCAAATGGGGAATAAGCCTCTTATAAATCCATCAGATCATGTGAGAACTCACTCACTATCATGAGAAGAGCATGGGAGAACTGCTCCCAAGATCTAATTACTTCCCACGAGGTCCCTCTCCCAACACATGGTGAATACAATTTGGATTACAATTCAAGATGAGATTTGGGTGGTGACACAGAGCCTGACCATATCACTACCACCTGACAACAGAGTAAGAAGCAGAATGTATAAGGAGCTCAAACAACTCAATAGAAAATTAAAAGATCTAACAATCTGATTTTAAAAATGGGCAAAATATCTAAATATACATTTCTGTAAAGAAGATATATGAATGACAAACTGGTATAAGGAAAGATGCTCAACATCACTGATTACCAGAAAATGCAAATCAAAACTACATTGAGATATCATCTCACCCCTGTTAAAATGGCTTTTATCCAAAACACAGGCAATAATGAATACTGACAAAGATGTAGAGAAACGTGAACCCTCATACACTGTTGATGGTAGTGTAAATTAGTACAGCTACTATGGAGAACAGTATGGAGTGTCCTCAAAAATCTAAAAATAGTATTACCATATGATTCAGCCATCCACTGATAGGTATATACACAAAACAAAGGAAATCAGTATATCAAAGAGATATCTGCACTCCCGTGTTTACTGCAACACTATTCACAATAGTCAAGATTTGGAAGCAACCTAAGTGTCCATCAACAGATGAATTAATAAAGGAAATGTGGCACATATACACAATGGAGTACCATTCAGTCATAAAAAAGAGTGAGTTCCTGTCATTCACAATAACTTGGATAGAACTGGAGAACATTATGTTAAGTGAAATAAGCCAGGCACAGAAAGACAAAATTTGCATGCTCTAATTTGTGAGAGCTAAAAATTCAAACAATTAAACTCATGGAGATAAGAGAGTAGAATGATGGTTAGCAGAGGCTGGGAAGGAAGTAGTGGTGGGTCACTGGGGAGTGAGAATGGTTAATGGGTACAAAAGTATAGTTAGAGAAAATTAATAAGGGCTAGTATTTTGTACCATAATAAGGTGATTACAGTAAACAACAATTTATTATACATTTAAAAATAACTAAAAGGGTATAACAGAAATTTTTTAACAGAAAAAATGGTAAACACTTGGGGTAACAGATATTCCATATACACTGTTGTGATTATTATGCATCATATATCTGTATCAAAATATCTCATGTACCCCAGAAACATATACACCTACTATGTACCCATAAAATTAAAAATGTTAAAAAATAAAGATAAAAGAAAAAAATTCAAAATATCCAAATTGAAAGAGTATCTCATAATACATATATGAATAAATATGCAAAACCTATATGAAGAAATTAAAAAACATTTTGAGAGACAGAAAAGAACATCCCAATGAAGACAATATTGTAGGGAACATTATTGTTACCACTTAACTCAGGATTTAATAAAAACAGAACACTTTTTTAATTCAGTTACTTTTCAAATACAGACAATAAACCATGAACTTGCCCAACTATATGTGGGCTATAATATATGTTTATAACTGTACTACAGGTTTTTTCAATTAATTAATTGAAAAAATAATACAGCATAAATTTATTCAATTAACACAAAATAAAATTAACCATTTCAAAGTATATGATTCGGTGGTATATAATACATTCATAATGTTCTGCAACTACCAGTTATATCTAGTCTTCAAACACTTATTATCACAAAATAAAACCCCATGCCCATCAAGCAATCACTCTGATTCTCTCCTCACCTATCCCTGGCAACTATTAATCTGCTTTTTGTGTCAATTGATCCATGGGCTTTTTAAATATTTTCTATAAATAGAATCACAGAATATATAGCTTTTTATGTCTAGTTTCACTTAGCATAATATCTTCAAGTTTCCTCCATTTTGTAGCATAAATATTAACATTTATCCTGGCTGAATAATATTCCATGTATAGATATACCACACTTAAATTGTCTATTTACCTGTTGAAGGACATTTGAAATGCTTCCACTTTGCTACAGGGTTTTAAAATAGATGTTATTAGAACTATATCAATGAGACTGAGAGAAAATTCCAAGAAAGTTCTGTGAACATATACTATATAAATAAGTATTATTTGGTATAATATTAAGGAGGAAAGTTTTGAATAATTTAACAAGTTGACATTGGAGTAGTCAATTGGGGATAAATTAATCTGGAGCTATTCTGCATTTGTTAGGATAATATACAGATGAATATTTACATAATCTTGGATGGAGGAAATACTTTCTAATCATGACATTAAAGACACTAGAATAGATTTGACTAAAGATTCAATAAAGTTGAGAGAAGAGTTAAATTACGCTATGATCTTTAACCTGTGAAGAATCATCAAAACCATAAGCAGGTAATTTGTTGACAAAACTCTAATTCTGAGCAGAATAAAATATAAAATATACTCAACTTTATATTGGAAAAAAATTTAAAAGACTATTGATGTGCATTTTTGTTGTTAAAAATTATACACACAAAAAGTGATAATGGGAATGTAAAGGGAAATGATGCATTTTGAGGGCTATTTGGCATTATGTATCTACGGCTTTAATAGAGTCCATATTCTTCTACTTCTCAACTGCTGGGAATTTAGACCAAAGCATCAATCTTGCAAGTGCACAAATAATTATCTGCTGGCATATTAATCTCTGCTCTGTTTTCAAATTAAAAATATAAGCAACCTATGTCCAATATAAAAACCTATATTACCTAAATATTTACATATAATAAAAATAAATAAATAAATAAAAAATCCAGTTTCATTCATTTCTTATCATTATTATATAGATTGGGACTGGCCAGTTTTTAATGTAGTGGACAAGAAAGTAAATATTGGCCAGGTGCAGTGGCTCACACCTGTAATCCCAGCACTTTGGGAGGCCGAGGTGGATGGATCATGAGGTCAGGAGATCGAGACCATCCTGGCTAACATGGTGAAACCCCATCTTTACTAAAAATACAAAAAATTAGCTGGGCGTGGTGGCTGGCGCCTGTAGTCCCAGCTACTTGGGAGGCTGAGGCAGGGGAATGGCGTGAACCCGGGAGGCGGAGCTTGCAGTGAGCCTAGATTGCGCCACTGCACTCCAGCCTGCCTGGATGACAAGGCGAGACTCTGTTTCAAAAAAAAAAAAAAGTAAATATTTTTGACTTGAGGACATATAATCTCTTTCACAACTACTTAACTCTGTCCTTGCATGTGAAAGTTAGATGCATTTTTAGTTATTTTATTTTATTTTATTTTTGGCTATTGTAAATGGGGTTGCCTTCTTTATTTGGCACTGTTTGAACATTATTGATGCATGGAGATGCTACTGATTTTGGAGCATTGATTTTGTATACTAAACTTACTGAAGTTGTTTTTCAGGTCTATGGGCCCTTTGGCAAAATTATTAGCGTTTTTAAGATACAAAATCATATTGTAAGTAAAGAGAGAGAATTTGACTTTTGCTTTTTCTATTTGGATGTCTTTTGTTTCTTTCTCTTGTCTGATTGTTCTTGCTTGGACTTCCAGCACCCTGTTGAACAGGAATGGTGAGAATAAACATTATTATCTTGTACCCATTCTTAAGGGGAATGTTTTCTGCTTTTGACTGTTCAGTATGTTAACTGTGGGTTTGTCATAGATGGGAGTCATTATTTTGAGTTATGTTCTTTCTATGTTAGTTTATTGTGGATTTTTAACAATGAAGGGATTTTGGATTTTATCAAAAGGATTTTCTGTATCTATTGAGATGATTATATGGTTTTTGCTCTTAATTCTGTATATGTGGTGAATCACATTTACTGATTTGTGTTTGTTGAACCAACCTTGCATTCCAGGAATGAAGCCTACTTGAATGTGGTGAATTAACTTTATTAATTTGCTACTGATTTCAGTTTGCTAAGAGCCTGTTGATGATTTTTGCATCTGTGTTCATCAGAAATATTGGCCTGTAATTTTCTTTTATCCTTGTGTCTTTGCCTCCTCCTGGATTTTTCTCTTTTTTTTTTTGAATATTTTCAGTAGAATTGGTACCAGCTCTTCTCTGTATGTCTTATAGAATTCAGCTGTGAATCCATCTGGTCTAGGGATTTTTTTAATTGTGAGGTTTCTTATGATTGATTCCATTTTGAGCTCAATATTGGTGTGTTCAGGGTTTCAATTTCTTCCTGATTTAATCTTGTGAGGTTGTGCATTTCCAGGAATTTATCCATTTTATGTAGATATTTTAGTTTCTTTGCATAGAGGTGTTCATAATAGTCTCTGATTATCTTTTGTATTTATGTGGGATCAGTTGGAATCTCACATTTGTCATTTCTGATTGTGCTTATTTGGATTTTTTTCTCTTTTTTTGTCAATCTAGCTAGTCATCTATCAATCTTGTTTATACTTTCCAAAGAAATTTTTGGTTTGGTTAACTTATTGTATTGATTTTCATTGTCTTGATACCATTCACTTCTGCTCTGATATTAGTTATTTCTTTTCTTTTCCTAGCTTTGGGGTTAGTTTGTTATTATTTTCTAGTTCTTCTAGGTGTAATATTAGATAGTTAATTTGAGTTATTTCTAACTTCTTGTTTTAGGTGTTCAGAGCTATAAACTTTCCTCTTAATACTACTTTTTTGCATCCCAAATATTTTGATATGCTATGTCTCCTTTTTCACTTATTTCAAAGAATTTTTTGATATCTGCCTTAATTGAATTTTTATCCAAGAGTCATTCAGAAACACATTTTTAAATTTCCATGTAATTGTATGGTTTTGAGATATCTTCTAGCTATTGATTTCTATTTTAGTTCCACTACGGTCTGAGAGTATGGTTGGGATGATTCAATTATTTTGAATTTATTGCGACTTGCTTTACAGGCAAGCATGTGCTCAATCTTAGAGTATGTTCCATGTGCACGTAAGAATGTATATTCTGTGCTTATTGGGTGGAGTATTCTGTAGATGTCTATTATGTCCAATTTGTTAAATGTTGAACGTAAGTCCAGGATTTTTGTTGTTAGTTTTCTACCTTGATTATTTGTCTAATATTGTCTGCGGGGTGTGGACTTCTCCTCTATAATTATGTCCCTGCCTACATCTTTTTGTAGAACTAGAAATACTTGTTTTATGAATCTTGGTGTTCTAATTTGGGGTGTGTATATGTTTGGGATAGTTAAGTCTTCTTCCTGAATTAAAACATTTATCATTATATAATACCATTCTTTGTCCTTTTTTACTGTTTTTTTTTTTTTTTTTTGTTTAAAGTTTGTTATTTTTTAGTCATCTAAGAATAGTGGCCCTTCCTCTTTTTTGTTTTCTGTTTGCATGGTAAATCTTTCTATAATGCTTTACTCTGAGTCTTGGGTTGTCACTACATGTGAGATGGGTATCTTAAAGACAGCAGACAAATGGATCTTGATTTTTTATTTTTTTTATTTTTTTTTTGAGATGGAGTCTTTCTCTGTCACCCAGGCTGGAGTGCAGTGGCATGATCTTGGCTCACTGCAAGCTCCGCCTCCCGAGTTCACGCCATTCTCCTGCCTCAGCCTCCCGAGTAGCTGGGACTACAGGCGCCCGCCACCATGCCCAGCTAATTTTTTTGTATTATTAATAGAGACAGTGTTTCACCATGTTAGCCAGGATGGTCTCGATCTCCTGATCTCGTGATCCACCCGCCTCGGCCTCCCAAAGTGCTGGGATTACAGGCATGAGCCACCGCTCCCGGCCAGATCTTGATTTTTTTAATTCAACTTACCACCCTGTACCTTTTAAGTAGGGACATTTAGGCCATTTACATTCAAGGTTAATATTTATCTGTGAGTTTTTCATCCTATTGTGAAACTGTTAGCTAGCTGCTTTGTAGTTTCTGTTGTATAGTTGTTTTATATGGTCTGTTGACTATGTACTCAAATTTTTTGTGGTGACAGATATCATTCTTTCATTCCCATGTTTAGAACTCCCTTGAGGATATTTTGTGAGGCTGGCCTGGTGATAGTGAATTCCCTTAGCATCATTTTTATTTCTATTGGACAGTTAAATTGCATTTACTATGGCTAAGCACAGATTCACTTATGTAACAATTATTAACTCAGTTAATCATTATAACAGTTTAGGACTTCGATGCTATCTTTAATATCACTTTACAGATGAGGAAACTGAAGTGCAAAATGGTTGAATCTTTTCCCAAGTCACCAATCTAGTGTAATTGGGATTAGAATACAGGTAGCTGGGCTCTAGAGTTTGTGCTTTAACCTCTATACTTTAATGAAAAAACAATAATAATTTGAGATGGTGCTAAATGCTCAGGAGAAAGTGAGCTAGGGCAAGCAAGAGAGAATTCTTGAGTTAGTGAGATAGGGAAGCCGGTAGAGGAGGAAGGAAAAAGGGGCTGGCTAAATAGATTGATCAAGGAAAGTCTCCTTGAGGGAGCTGCATTTGAAATGAGATCAGAGTGACAAGAATGAGGCAGTTGGGTAAATGTGTGGCAGAAATGTTATACCTCAAAGGTAGAGCAAGTGAAAGACCTGTGGTTATGAAGTATTTTCATTATTCTAAGAATAAAAGGATATCCAATGGTACCTAGAATTTGTTGGGAAAGGGGTAGGGAATGAGATTGGAGACTGAAGGAAAAAAGTAGATCCCATTAGCCAATGTGTTTCACTTCTAAGTGCAATGGAAACCTGTTGCAGCATTTTAGGCAGGAGATGACATGATATGATCTTGAATTTTAAAATATTGTTCTCTCTACATTGTGGAGAATGAAAGGCAAGATTCAGCAGTAGTCACAGGAAGACGAGTTAAGTGATTAGTGTAGGTATCTACCACCTACCACAGGGAAGGTGTCCAGAACCAGAGTAGTAGTAGTGGAGATAAAATGACTATTTTGGCCTCTGTTATAGATATTGTGTTTTCTGATAGCATGGAAGCAAGCAGTGAAAAAAAAAGAGAAGAGACTCAAAGATGATTCAAGTTTTTGGCTTCATCTACTGAGTTTATGGTGTTATTCTTTACTGACATAAAAAATGAATAGAAGATAAACATATCTGAATGCCAAAGCAAGAAATTCTGGAGGCATACATCCCAGAATGTTAACCTAATGCCTATCTTGGCATGGGGAGTTTTATACCTATATTTTCTAGTTTTTCTGCATTTCACTTGCATAACTTACATAATATATTGATTAATTGAAATATAAATCAGAGAAAACAAAAAATTAATGTAAAATTTATTAATATATGTGCTCATTTCTTATATTACCCAGTCCTCAAGATCTTTTCAAGTTCTTGTTTTTTAAAGGCACTATAGCTAATTAAAAGACAGTTCAAATATTTCTATTTCTCTTGGTCACATTAAAATAAAATTTCATGCAGAAAATTGTTATAGAGTCACGTATCTGGAATTAGAGAGTTCCCTTATAATTAAAGTTTAAGTAGAGTCCCAAACATTGGAATATACCCTGGCACAGGTGAGACATGCTGGTCTCTAGTAGAATAAGGCAGTTTGTAAACTTATTTGGGGCGTTTACACACAGACCATGATAAAGGACTGGGTGTAATGAAACTGCTGCATTGTGGAGTGGCTACCTGTGGATGACCATTGGCTAACATGGATGGTGCCTAAAGTGATAATCCTTTAGAATAAGATATAAATGGTTGTACCAATTTATCATGGCAATACCACAACATCAATGTGATGTAATGGAAACATCACAATGTATAGGCCTAAAAATTGGACATTCCAACATTGTTCTTTACTAGCAGAATGGTTCGATTTCTTCATCTTTAAAATAAGACTTAAATAGTGTCCGTTTCCTAAGCCTACAATCTAGTTCTAGTATGCTGACACTGAAAAATACTAAAATATTAAAAGATACACATCCATCATATTAAAAAGGTACCTTGAGTATTCTTTGGTAAGAGCTCTGGCATTTGCCTGCATAAAAAAATTCTTTTTAATGCCCTGGTAAATTCCAATACAACATACTTTATTTTAAAAAATTATCACCTTAAAAATGTCAAAGTTTGAATGTATTTATGGTACTGCAGACTTCATTGTGGACCTACATACACAGGAATAAAAAGAAAATTTCGAAAATATATATTGGTAAGTGGATGCCCTCATTTTATACATCACATTTCATTTTCTCATCTAATTTCTAAGATGACAAAGCAGGAATAAGAAAGATCTTGAGAAAGGTAAGAAATGTGATTACAGTAAAGTAATTTCCTAAAAGAAGAGTTTCAGAGAATGAGAGCTATTTAATATGAAAAGGAGAAGATACCAAGAAAGATAATAGAGCTACATTAATGATGAATGACATAGAGGAGGGTGTTTGACCTTTTTTAAATATGTAAAATAGATACAAAGGGTCATCACCAAAGCCCTGTTCCTAAACATCATTATAACAAATGGCATTTAGAAAGTATCCTTTGAAACTGAACCTCATATACAGTTCTTATAATGTATAATAGAGTAAAATAACACTCCATGAATTCAGAGAGCTAGCAAATTGAAAACTGATAAGAGGCTTTTTTTTTTTTAATACGAGGAAGGATAATGAACATGCAGATTGCCAGGAGAATCTTATGCAGGTGAAGAGGTCTAGGGAGTGGAAAGGGAGGGAGGAAAAAGAAAAAGGGATCAGTGAAAGATGTGCGGAGAGAATGTAAAATGAAAATGTACATACATAAACAGTCATGGGTCACTTACTGACAGCGATATGTTCTAAGAAATTGGGAAATAGGCAATTTTGTCATCGTGCAAGCATCAGAGAGTGTACTTTCACATATCTAGATAATGTAGCCTTCTACACACATAGAGTATATGGTATAGCCTATTATTTCTAGTCTACCAATCCGTACAGCATGTTACTGTGCTGAATATGGCAGGCAATTGTAACACCATGGTAAATATTTGTGTATCTAAATGTATCTAAACATAGAAAAGGTACAGTAAAATCAGGGTATTATAATTTTATAGCACTATCATTGTATATGCAGTCTGTCATTGACCAAAATGTCATTATGTGGCATATGACAGCATATGTGTGTGTACATACACACACACACATATATTTATATATACAAAAATATTTACAAAATAATATCAACCAATTAAGAAATTGACCATCAATTTCTTATTATGAGTTCACAAAAATCCCAAGGCTTCACTTTAGGATTGCCTGCTATAGCACAACATTCTGTGTTATTTAACGTAGGTTTGGGCCAGCTCTTAGCCTTTATCGGAAGTTTTAGGAAGCTTTCCAAATACTATGCCTCACCTTGAACTTACAGATAAATTTTCAGAGTTGGCATAATAGTTCCTTTACCTACAAGCACAAAAGATAATGACTAAAGGATTTGACTTTTAAGCATAGCAAAATATCTTAAACTATCTGGTTCTTTTACTCCCCCTTGCCAATATTTTCATTTACTAATTTTGTCTCTTAGGGTCTTCCCCTGTATTCAACTGGACTCTAATCATCTATGCTGAAAATCCTGTCTTGAGAAATGGGTTCTCCCAATGCCAGACTAGTGATAGCTCTTAGTTCACACCTAAAAGCACCAAAATGCAGAGTAAATAAAGTCAAGGCTTGGTAACGTAGAGATTTGTGTAATCAGGAAAGTGAAATGCCAGGCTTTCTGCTCTGTAATTAACAAAGCCATCACTTAAGGTTTACAGTGGAATACAAAAAATGCCATTTGCAATTTGAAACAAAAGAACCATTAGCTTTCTGCCCCCTTTAATGCATTATTGATTTACAATCCCTTACTTTCATTTAATTTCAAGCCAAAAGCCTGCATGCCTATTTTTTCTTCTTCCTTAAAATGGGCATTACTGATTTTGCTTCCAAACAACAGCCTCCCAGCCCTCTTTCCTCTGTCAGCTTTTCAACTTGTTTTATTAGTAATGGCTTTCATTTCCCTTAATTATGTTTTCGGCATATATACTTTCAGATACCTTTTACTATGTCATAGTAACATTTTTTTGGTTCCTGTCTTAAGACAGAATCAGTGGAAACAGTTACTACCCGTCCTGATGCAGTGCCTAATATATGTTGCTACATTTATTCTGAGCTGCTTCAGGCTCTGGTATGGCTGCTCTCACTTTTAGGGGGATGAGAATGAACACACCATTATCTCCTAGTCTTCTCTGGCCCACAGCTCCTCCCACCTAATTGCATACTTTTTTTTTTTTTCTAGGAACTATAGCATCTTTATTAGCAGCCACAAAAGGACTTGAATGAAACTGAAATGCCCAGTTGAATCTCAATTTACTTCATTCTCATACTCTTGGCCTTCCACTAGAGTTTCCTATTGTAATTAAGAATTGGTACAAGCATAAATTCAAAAAGTCTGAGTTTGGGCAAACAAATTATAATGTTAGTTTGTGTATTGCTTTTGTTACTTATGGTTCCTATGACAAAGATTATTAATAGAGTTTTTGAATCTGTTACAAACCTGGTGGATATTATTTCTATTCATGAGATATTACTCAAAATAACAAACAGCATTTCTATGTAGTCAATTATGGTAAAAAGTCTTTCTGTCACTGTCTCTCTCTGTCTATACATATATGTGTGTGTATACAGATGTACACACATGTGTATACATCTACATACACATGTTTATACATATACATATGTGTATGTATGTATGTGTGTGTATATGTGTGTGTATTTTATATATATTTATAAATTCAGTTAGTTTTGACCACCACTTGGCTAGTGCCATGCATTATTTTTAGACATAAATACAACAATTTTGTTACCATGAAGATTATTCTTCTCAAACAACATATTATTGGTTCATAGTCATAAATACAAGTGTTGATTACTCACCACCCCTTAAAAATACCACTGTTAATAATATTTTCTTAAATGCAGCGAAGTTTGAAATATTGAACACTATGCTTTGTCAGAAGAACAAATTTGTTAATTGTATGTCTATATAATTCAATTTTAAGGTGTTCGGTGATCTTATAAGAGATTATTTGGCTAAGTGAGCACTGTTTTATTTTATTTTATTTTATTTTATTTTATTTTTTATTTTTTGAGACAGAGTCTTGCTCCGTCACCCAGGCTGGAATGCAGTGGCACCATCTCGGCTCACTGCAACCTCCACCTCCCTGGTTCAAGTGACTCTCCTGCCTCAGCATCCCGAGTAGCTGGGACTACAGGCATGCACTACCACTGCCAGCTATTTGTTTCTTTTTTTATTTTTATTTTTAGTAGAAATGAGGTTTCACCATGTTGGCCAGGCTGGTCTTGAACCCCTGACCTCAAGTGATCTACCCACCACCTCAGCCTCCCAAAGTGCTGAGATTACAGACATGAGCCACTCTGCCTGAGCTACTTTATTTTTAAAATATAAATGCCTTTTGAAATTATATTCTTTCTCCAGAAATTATACACTTGATTGCAACAGTTTTGGAATTTGTGTTAAAAATGCAGCATTTGATGTTATTATTTTTAATATCATATCAGGGAAAGATTTAAGTATGGAGAACATAAGTGTCAAAATTGAGAAAATGTATTTGAGTAATTTTTGGTAATAGGATAGGATTTCATGTGCCTTGTAAATCAGCTGTAAAGGTAATTCTGCAAGATGAGCCCAGAATTATTTTGTAAAATGTGATAAAACCACAATCTTGAAAATAGTGTCTTACAAGCAAGCTACTACTTTAAAGTGCAACATTCATTGGACAAATACCGCTATTTAAAAAAATATTATTTGCATACTTTGTCAGAGGATTCATTCTGAGTTGTCCTTTAGTTAAAATAAGAATCATTTATCAAGTTTCTAATGAAAGATGTTTATTTATATATATATATACATTCATTAAAGAATAATCCTATGTATTATGTTCATTTAATAGTTCATTTTCTTGGGTTTCTACTTCACTCCTTCAAAATGTTTACCTTCATGTTTCACTGAGAATTTAGAAATGAAGCATCACCTTCAAATTTCATCTAAATCCTCTGAGCAATTGGCAAGCAGTCACTAAGCAACTGCCCAGGTTTACCCTACAGAAGGCTGAAGAGTTGAATTCTGTTATAAAATGAGTCAAGGGACCAAGGAAGCACATGCCTTCTCTAATAAAGTTCCGTCCTACCTCTCTCGTCAGATTGCTGTGGTCCTCAGCTGTTTAAATGGATTGGGAAAGAGCTTGGAAAAGCAAAAGCAAAATAGTCAATATGAGGTAGTGATAAAATCTATTAGATCTCATTTTTTCTGCTATATTTAATCAAGCAATGATAGTAACATTTTTGAACACAACTTAAAGTAATTTTTTATGTAATAAGTCATTGATGCCTCACAAACACCCCTATTTTGTATCTCCCTTATTCTTGTTTTGATTGTTTGCAGATATTTTTGTTACAGAAATATATGTGTTGATTTTAAATAAAGTGAATTAATTTGAAAGATTCATCCTATCATAGCACATGCTGCAGTCAATGGCATGACTGTAACAGCAAATAATCCTTAGGAAAGACGAGAGTGTCAAAAATTGCGCTGATCTTTAGTCTAGAAAGGGTATGAAATAGTGTATAGTTTTTAAGGTGCATACAACATGCTTTTAGGATCCAATAAATTAGAAAGAAGAAAGCAAAGATAAGGGGGAAAAACACAGAAAGAAAGAAGAAAAAAAGTATTAATAGAAAGGGAGGAAGAAAATGTGACTGTTTGGGACTTTTTCAAAAGGAGAGTTACCGTCAGCCGACAGAAAGAGAACATTTTAAAAATACCTGACGAGTTTCATAATGATAAAGCCCTGCTCATTAATTGCAATGATAATGTATGTGTAGATTTAGAATTTAGTGAAATCAGCTACAATTTTAGAATTATCACACAGCTATATAATCTATGTTGTTATGCTAATTAACACATTTCTGTCTGGATACGATAAGAGATGATGCCGAGGAATGAATACAAATCTATGATTCATAGGCTGAATTCTGCTAATGTCAGGCGAGATTTATGAGTAATAACAAAAACTGGGTGTGTATTTCAGTCCCATCATTTTTCTATAGTTACAGCATGTCCTTCAACTTTTAAACTTCCAAACTCATAACTTGCAAAAAAATTTATTTTTCTTCAACTACCATAAATTGCCTAACTCTTAATTTGATTCTTACTTTAAGTGAAGTGATGTCACTAAAGGGTATTATTAGAGGCACTTTTTTGATATATCTAAAATGGCATCTCTTGGTTATAGTTTACTAGAGAAATAATCCATAAAACCCATTTCCTCTTTTTATAATGTGCAATTCAAAATGTTTTCTTGTCACTGTACAATTTAGAGAATGAATTTATACATAGGAATCAGACACTATGAACCAATCTTTATCTGATTCACTGGAAGCTCCAACAGTATATCCACTATCCTTTGGTGGGATGAGGTAAGGTGCTGTCTTTTCAAAATACACAAAAACAATACACTTTTAACTGTTTCTGGGGAAACAGCTTCAAATTCTACTAAGACATTTGTCATTTAGGTTGTACTAGGTTCTGTCCAAAATTGACCGCTCACTCCAAGACAAGGCAAATTCTACCTCAATTCTAATGAAAATGTATCTGTCATACTTTACCATCTCATTGCACATTGACTCAGCATAGAGTAGATGAACAGTAGATATTGTTGGAAAAAAAAACGGAAGTTGAGAAGAGAGGAAATCCCACTGAAAATCAGCAAGTTTTGTTTTTGTTTTTTTCAGAATCCAGTGACTCCTTAACAAATTATACATGAAAATTGGTGTCCTATTTTCTTTCCCATCATTTTTCTTAAATGTTTCTAGTCTTTGCATATAAACTCATACGAACGATGAAAGACAAAGTTAATTAGCTCTGGAAGCTTCTATGCTTTCAGCTGTGAGTTTTGTTCTCTTTCTCTTCAATAAGTTGAATTATTGGTCCAAAATATTCATTCCCCTCAAATTTTTATATACATTTATACCTTTGCATGGCCTCATGATGTGCAGAATTGTCTTCCCCACCTTTTGACTTTCAGTTTGGCCTTGCAACTTGCTTTGGCCAATGGGATGTTAGTGAATATGACTTGAGCAGATGCTTGAGATATGCTTGTGCAGTTGAGCTTGCCATATTTGTTTCTGCCATCATCACAAGAAGAAAATACAATAAGTAGTCACAGTCTTCGGGATCTTTAATGAGACTTAAAGTTCAGAACCACCCTAGCTGATGCTTGAAGTCCCTGAACCTGAATCAGAGCCACCTCAGCCAATGTGTAGAAGTCTAAGTGACATATAAACGTATATCATATACCTCTGAGAGTTTTTTGATTGTTTGTTACACAGCAAAAGCTGATCGCTACTACCACAGTAGGATTCTTTCCTGAATAAAAGACTTGGCCAAACATAATATGAAAGTGGAGTAAAAATTTCTTACTTGGTATCATTGGTGTATGTAACAAGGGTCAACAAGGAAAAAATTAAAAATATTTTACTTCCTCTACCCTATAATCTTCATTAGTCAAATCTCACCCACCCCAAATAGACACACGAGCCAACAGCTGAGCATGCTTGCTTTGAGGATGTAACTACAGTACAAGTTCCAAATCTTCATTAACATCTCCCCCACCCCCCATCCAGAAAACATTTGTAATAAGAAAATACCCTAAGTTTAAACTGGCGCACTCACTATGTAAAAGTAGGTCTTGGTCAAGGTTTTTGGTTCCTCCCTTGAGAAATCCTCAATATTTCTCTTATATAGAAATGTTCCTATTGTCATTTCTGTCAGAAGAGCAGACAGGCAATCCGAGACACTCACCTCCATGCCAAATAAGTTTTACCAGGAGCTGAAGAGCCACATAGTAGTTCTCCCCATGTCTCAGTCTCTGTTCTACTTCTCTTTCAGGTGCTAACATAAACAATAAGAAGCAGACCCTCTACTTCTCCAGATTTATGAATTTCTTTAGAGAAATTAAAATATTTTCCCTAGGTGGTAAAATTGTCTGTCACACATTGTTCTGTTAATTGCCAACTGGGGGGGGTAGGGGGAGGAACAGAGGGAACAAGGGAGGAGAAAGGGATCTGACTAGTCTCACTGTTGGGTGACAGTCCGTTAGTGAATTGTGGCAGTTACTATTCCAGTTGCTTATTCCTTTCCTTTGTGCTTGCTGACAAGTGAGAGGCCTCTATGCGACTATGCGAAAAAGAACTGGTCCTACTTCCGTTGCAACATTCTCCATTGCATGTCTACAGCAGCAGTTTTCAACGTGATCCCATCTAGTTTCCTCCTTTGAGAGCTCTTCAAAATCTTTGAAATGCTAATGGCATACTCTCTGATGCTGATCACTGTTGTAAACTTATTCTACATTTTATTGTCATACTGTCATATCAGTATAAGTGAAAAGGAGGTGAAAATGAATGCACAATCAGCCATCTTGATTTAGAAGTTATTTTGGCAATTTAAAAAGATCCTATTAAAGGCACATAATTTAAATATATGCTTAAACTACAATTACAAACAAACCCGGCAACAGGGATTGGAGCTAGCTGAGTGTAAAGTCTAACCATGCTTTTTCCAAATGACTATATTTAGAAAATTATCCTTTATGCTTGCCCAGTGATTTCAAAGAAAGAATGAGTGAAATGAAAACAGGGAAAATGAAAGCCACCCCAGTTCACAGAACTCTTCCCATGGAGAAAAAAGGTTGGTATTCTTATTGTTGTTCTTGTTATTACCATTTTGCATCTTCTAACATACAAAACACCGCACTGTTACCTATGTTATATCATTTATTCCCCACAATTTAGGCAGGGAGGTAATCCTATTCCGATTTTACAAGTGAGGAAATTAGAGATATTACATAACATGCAGAAGTTCTCACATCTACCCAGTGACAGAGATGAGTTTCAATCTGAGTTCTGTCTTCTTCATGCACAAATTTAATCCCAGGTTCTCAAGTTATTTCAAAAGTGTGCTTCCCCATGGTCATTCTCAGAGGTGTGATGATCTGCCTTTCCCTGAATACATTCAAAGCAGCTTGGTAATATTCAACCTCAATAAAGCAACTGAACATTTTTTTTTCTTCCTCCTCCTTTCTTTGTTCCTTTCACTTCTGTCTTAGTAGATCATCTGTATAGACTCTGATGCTTTATAATTTGCAGTCTTGTCCTACCTTTGAGGACAAATGAAACCTCACCCTTTGCTGTAAATGTTTTAAGTTATTGATATTTTCATTCAATAAAACTGCCATCACAGTCAAATACAAGCAAAGCTACCCCAGATACCATACTTAGAACCAATTAGGTTAATTGATACTGCTGCTGTTTCTGGCAATTGAATAATATTAACAAAATTTAATTTTGCTCTTTCTTTTTGTTGTCCCTCATTTTTGTTTCATGACCAGTAAAGTCCATTGCATTTTCTTTCAGTGGTAGCTGCTCTAACATTTTTAACAAAATCATTTATGAAGTTATAATGCTTCTCTCTTCAAATCTTTCCTGGAATGCCATGAATATTAGACACCTATTGGGATACAAAAAGGCATCTGAGAGGGGACTAAAATTTCTGTAAAAAATGCATATTAGGCCGGGCACGGTGGCTCACGCCTTAATCCCAGCACTATGGGAGGCCGAGGCAGGCGGATCATGATGTCAGGAGGTCGAGACCATCCTGGCTAACATGGTGAAACCCCGTCTCTACTAAAAATACAAAAAAATTAGCTGGGCATGGTAGCGGGCGCCTGTAGTCCCAGCTACTTGGAAGGCTGAGGCAGGAGAATGGCGTGAACCCGGGAGGCAGAGCTTGCAGTGAGCCGAGATCGCGCCACTGCGCTCCAGCCTGGGTGAGAGCAAGACTCCGTCTCGGGAAAAAAAAAAAAAAAAAAAAAAAAGCATATTATAAACTTATGTGTTAGTGGGCTCATGGGTAAGAAAATGAAAGGAATCAAGTTTGAAAATTTAGACCATTCTCTTTCAATATTGAAAAATTATGGCTATAAATTTTAGGCTAGTGAGACGACTGAAAAAAAATCAAATTCTGTTATTATAAGTATAGTGTTATTTCAGGTAAGATATGAGCTAGCAATCAGTTGAGTTTCTCTTCATTGATAACTAGTCTGGGATACCGAAAATGTACATAGTCGATTGCACATCTATACATATAAGGCTTTGGGGTTTTCTCTCTCCCACTTTTTATGCTTTCCACATTTGGCATAATAAAATTAAAAAAATTATAACTTAACTTTAATAACTTCTTAAACATATCTTTCTTCTCTCTCTCTCTCTGTTTTAATTGACATCCTCACTAAGTCAATAAGATTTTTAAAGTAAGGTTGCTCTACTCTTCTATACTTCAGATATATTTTTAAAATGTAGCTGGGTACTGTCAGCTCATGTTTCAACTCAGACAAACCTCATTTCTTATTGAGTCAGAGTTAAATATAAGCATAGATGTGTACAAATGTTTCTGTAAGATGAAATAAACCAAATAGTTTGCTTACAAGTCTTTTCATTCAACATATTTTGAGCCAAATATCTTCCAAGGTAATGAAGAATACAAGCAAAATATTCTCTAGGTTTTGGGGACTCACAATCCATGTTTACCAAGTGTTACAGCACATAATAGAGTCACACACACGAGGCCATATTAGCACAGATGTGGGAAGTATTAAACAAATGGCAACAGAAGAGGATGGGCCAAAAAAGATTCAAATAAGAGATACATGTGTCTAAAATTTTAAAGGCCTTAAAGGTTGAACTGAAGTTTTTTGAGATAGAGAAGAGCAAGTACAGGCAGGATTCACTTGAAAGATTGGAACAATATTAGAAAACATAAGGAATTAAAACCATATCCTTACATCATAATAAAGATAGAGGTAGTTATCATTGAAGATTTCAGTGACAAAACTTGATTTTTACCCACAGAAAATATTTCGTAAGTGGATTGGAGAAGATTAGAGGCAGAGGTGAATGTATCGCATTGACAGTTTTTGCCCAATAATTTCTCATTTGAAGTTCTTATTTGCAAAGTGGAATTGATGCAAAAGATGATTTTATTTTTTCTAGTTCTACACAGACATTGGCATCATATTACTTCTGTGTGCTCAAATACATTGATGATTTATATGATAACTACATAATCTCATTAATAGAAATCTGTGTTCCTTTGGCAACTTTGATTGGCTGAGGTGATCAAAAAATTCCAAATACAAAGGCTTTGGAAACCAGACTCCAACACTTAACTAAAGAGCTAATTTCTTCCTGCTGTGTCCGCACCACGGTGGCATAAATTCTCTCCAAGGTGAGCACGCGGTCCAAATCCTCACTTTGCACATGTTGCTCTAGCCAGAAGCAGCCAAGGAGATTTTCCCTTATGACCATTTCAAACAGAAGCATAGACAACAACATCTCATCAGGAGAACACAGTGCATTGGCCTAAAATCTCTGTAAAACATATCTTTCAGGGACTAGATCCTATGTGTTTGAATCCCACATCAACAAAGCTTTTTATTTAAATAGTCCCTGTTGGGAAAATCATTAGTGTTTGTGATCTGTTAATTATAAATATGCAGACTACTAATGTCTCCTGTAAGGCTTCCAACACATCCTGTGAAAATTAATCATAATGGATCTTAAAAATATTTTTGTTTCTCTCTGATGGTTAATTATAGCTCCAAGGAGTCTAATAGGACTGTGCCACAATGCTTCCATTGATACTCCTTAGAATTGCAGGAAGCCAAAGTGCCAAGTTATTTAATCAGAGGTCTTCATTTGTTTGAAAAATTCCACACAATATGAGCTGCATTTTGTCACTCAGTACCTGTCTGATGAAAAGCTGTGAGCTGTTTTGTTTTTTGTGTTCCAGATAAGGATTATTTAAAGCTCACTCCCCACCTCTTCCAGAGGTGCTCATGAATTTGCTCATTCCTTGCTCATGAATGTCCTGGTATATGGGAATAAAGTTCAGTTGGCTATTTGGAGGTAATAAAACAAAATCATGGGGCCTATGAAAGCATTGTATGGTGTTGCAAATAAACTCTATTGATTTTACATTTTTCCATAGTAAATACTTTGCATCTTTCACATTTCAAAAGTGATTAAGTCATTCTGTCAAATCAGTTATTTTCCCCCCACTTGTTTGTATGTCTTGGGAGTTCAAGAAGTGTTGCTTCTAATAAGTGTAGAAAAAGTAATGAACAAGGAATAGGGAGGCTGAAAATTGATAATCTTCTACATACAGGCTCTTCATCCACTCCAGGTGAAACTCTACTCTAATTTCCATAAAAGTTTTGTAATCACTAAGCACTATGGAGAAGTAATCATGTTTGTGCAAAAAGTTAAGGACAAAGAGAGGGGTTAGGTTCTGGTTGAAAGACTTACTAGTGAGTGAATAGCCAGGTAATTTGCCTTTTGTATATGAAACATGCCTGAATTGTATGAAATCCATGTGCCAATTCATCGTGATCTATGAGTGGGAGGGGGATTGTGGAAAGAAAATAAAGCAGCCTCATAAAAAGAAATAGTGTGTTCCTATTAGATGTCCTTCTCTTCCTTCTGGACAGAGAATGGATCAGGTTCAGTAAGATTCTTTGGACATTAAACTAGTCTCTTATTTGTTTTTTAGAATATTTAAATGGAAGGAGGTGATACAATTCAGGAAGATAAGGCTATGCAAACCCATGAGTTTTGTTTTATCTGGTAAAAAAGGCTCTGGCTTCTTTTCCTTTAGTGGCTACGTAGTCTTTGAACACATTTGACATTGAACTAAAAAAAAAAAGTATATATTATTTTACTCCACCAAGCGCTCTTAAACTCTAAACACTTTTAGTTTGAACTTTTTTAACTATAAGCATCAAGAACCAGCAAATCAATTACAAATTTTTACTTCTCCAACATGTGGCCAAAGACATTATAGACTTTAGCCCTATTCTAGCATTTGCTAATTTGATATTGAAGAAAATATGACATGTTTCATTATTTTTGTCCTTTTGAATAATTATGAAATCAATAATGACGCTTCCAAGGAGTAAAAAAAAAATGAACAAAATCAATATTTTCTTTATTATTGAAGTTTATTTCTCGGTAGTGCTACCAGTTTTGAAAGGTGAGAAGACATGCAGACTGGTGTAAAAAGAAGTTTAATGGTAAATGAAAATAAATAGACTTTTTGGTTTATAAAGTTAGAAAGGGAAATGTAAGAATATTTTATTTATTAGAACCACACCAGTTAGAATGGCGATCATTAAAAAAGTCAGGAAACAACAGGTGTTGGAGAGGATGTGGAGAGATAGGAACACTTTTACACTGTTGGTGGGACTATAAACTAGTTCAACCATTGTGGAAGTCAGTGTGGCGATTCCTCAGGGATCTAGAACTAGAAATACCATTTGACCCAGCCATCCCATTACTGGGTATATACCCAAAGGATTATAAATCATGCTGCTATAAAGACACATGCACACGTATGTTTATTGCAGCAATATTCACAATAGCAAAGATTTGGAACCAACCCAAATGTCCAACAATGATAGACTGGATTAAGAAAATGTGGCACATATACACCATGGAATACTGTGCAGCCATAAAAAAGGATGAGTTCATGTCCTTTGTAGGGACATGGATGAAGCTGGAAACCATCATTCTCAGCAAACTATCACAAGGACAAAAAACCAAACACCGCATGTTCTCACTCATAGGTGGGAATTGAACAATGAGAACACTTGAACACAGGGCAGGGAACATCACACACTGGGGCCTGTTGTGGGGTCGGGGGATGGGGGAAGGATAGCATTAGGAGATACACCTAATGTAAATGATGAGTTAATGGGTGCAGCACACCAACATGGCACATGTATACATATGTAACAAACCTGTACATTGTGCACATGTACCCTAGAACTTAAAGTATAATAAAAAAATTAAAAATAAAAAAAGAAATCTTACCAAACTCAAATTTGCAAGAGTCAATGAAAAATGCCCTTGAGAAAATTATTTCTCAAAAATATTAAGAAAATAATTTAATTGTTACTGTTTAAAAATTGAGGGTCTCGAAAAACAATTAAGAAATTTCTTACTTGATTACTGATAAAAATTCTGTAAGCTTTGTTAATGTCTGCCAATAAAGTTACCTCAGTTCAAAAATAAACTTCCTGGTATAAAAAGTAGTTTTTTAGGCAATTGGAAGACAAGCCACACAGAGTTTTCAAATCCATTAATTATATAGTAACATCATCTTTGTCAGTAAAAGCAATTAAAACTACATTACTGTAACCAGTCAGAATTTGAAAAGCTTTGCATGTATTAACTCATTTAATACTCACAACAAACAAAACAAATAGGCCAGTACTACTTTGACTCTTATTTTACAAATATGGAAACTGAGGCACAGAGAGGTCAAGTAAATCCCAGTTTTATTCTTAGGAAGTGACAGAGCTGTGATTTGAATGCAGACAGTCTGGAAAGAGAGTCCATAATTTCAACCGGAATGTGTGGCATATATTTAAAAAGGTATATACCAAGATATTATAGCATTGGATATATTTTATATTTTAGTGGTGGTAATATAAATCATTTTCAACTTCTTTGTGCTTTTATGTACTTATCACATTCTCTATCATGGACACAAACAATTCTGTAATTAGAAATAAAGTATCTGGAATGTACTTTAAAAATACTCTTACTAGCTGCCTTCCTTCTCTCTTATCTTCGTATAAACTGACTAGGCTGCCTTCTTTCTCTATTATCTTCATATAAACTCACTAGACTTCATATAAGCTGACTAGGCTTCTTCATATGGCTGACTAGGCTTCTTTTTCTTTGTGAGATCTCTGATGTGAAAAAAAACTTTTTAAAAATAAACTTCCTGTTTCTAGATATGCATCCTGTCTGAATTAATGACCAACAGAATCTTGGAATATCCTTTTTCAAGGAAGTAGCTTAACAAAGCAGTCCCCCGTAAATAGCATAATTATGGTTCAGGAATCTTCTATTAGTTGAATGCAGAAAAGGACAAGCAATACATTCTGAGAGACTAAGAATGAACAAACGAGAAAGTCTGGGCCATAGGCATTTAGTGAATAAACATGAATAAAGAAAAGAATATATTTTTAAGACATACAAAGAACAAAGCCACTCTCATAAACGCCAGCAAAAAAAAAAAAAAAAAAAAAAAAAAATGTGGCGGACAGGGATCGGAGGATAAAGGAATGCTCAGACATGTACTATTTGTTCAAGGAGATATACTAGCCATCAAATCTCTGATTCTCCATCACAGGACTCATGATTTTTGTAGCAATTTTGTCTGTAAGAAATATCCTTTCCTTGGATACAATGGAGGGTAGAGAATAGACGCTGTTTCCGTCTGTTGAACTAGGTAATTACAAATAAATAGGTTTCTATCCTGCAAGTGTTGGAAGTACTACTTTCTAAAGGGCCTTGGGAGGTGTTAGAAAAATTTATGTCACCAATTCCTATGAGTAATACTGATAGAACAACCAGTTGAGTGCTATAAGAATATGAGTAGGACTCATCAAATAACCTAGGGAAGCCAGGAGTGTAGGGAAACAAGATCACGACTCAAAGTCCGTAACCAGGGCTTAGTATCAACACTTCTGTAAGTCCCAATATCAGCAGATAAAGTTTGATATCTGGCCTAGGATCAAGGTTTGGGCAGGTGACACAAGAATGATATATTGAGTGCTTCTAATTAATTTTCTCCTAAAATGGCAAATTTCCTTCCCTCTTACTCAATTCTTAGTTAGACATCATATCTTTTACTATAGAGAACTTCTCTAAGCCAAATCTTCCCATCACTTCAGATTGTAGTGTTTTAACTGTATTTCTCATCATGATCTCCTTTCATTGGTAACAGTCAATGACTTGCAGGCTTACAAAGCAATAACATACTCTAAAACAAGTAAAAGAACACTATACCAGGTAATAAAAAGCACAGGCAGTAATTGCCAGACATAGAATCTTTACTTCTCCACATCCATATATGCTACCATTAGAAGGGAAGGAAAGACTGGGCGCGGTGGCTCACGCCTGTAATCCTAGCACTTTGGGAGGGTGAGGCTGGTGGATCACGAGTTCAGGAGATCGAGACCATCCTGGCTAACACGGTGAAACCCTCTCTCTATTAAAAATACAAAAAAAATTAGCCAGGCGTGGTGGCGGGTGCCTGTAGTCCCAGCTACTCGGGAGACTGAGGCAGGAGAATGGCGTGAACCCAGGAGGCGGAGCTTGCAATGAGCCGAGATCATGCCACTGCACTCCAGCCTGGGCGACAGAGCGAGACTCCGTCTCAAAATAAATAAATAAATAAAATAAAATAAAACAAGGATAGGAAAAAATAGAAACGGTAATTATGCAGAAAGGCCCCAGAAGGGTTGCTTTGTGTTAGGTAGAAATTTTGACATAGGCAGTTTAAAAAAAGAAATCCACTTGTCCTCTTATAAAACAAGCTGTTTATTTTGAGGTAGTATTAATAATATATCCTTAATGTTCAAAAGAGACGAAATATAATTGTCAAAAATTTCAAAAGATGTAAGAACTTACTTTGTGGATTATGAAAGACCAAGTTCTGTAATGTGTAAATTACAGAAGAATATTCAAAATCTTTTAACTAGCCCTGTAACGCTTTAAGAATTAATAGGGCCACCTCCATGTAGGAGGAAGGCAGGAACATAAAATAGTTGTAAACTGCCAAAGAGAACTAATAATTGAGGGAAAAATGTGTTCTTAGCCCCAAATGATAATACGTCTATATATTATCTATAAGTTTACTCTGATCATAGAATGAAAATGCTTAGGTACCTAGAATGATGTTTTTCTTCAAATATTCAAGGAACTGGAGAATATGGGTGCTTTGGTATTATACCCAGGTTTTGGGGATTTATTTATAAAAAATATGTTCACCTAAACAGTAAATTTGTCTAATTCCTATGCATGCCCTGAGTGGGAGCTTGGGCAGTATTGGATACAAAACCATTAAAATAGATGATAGTAAGGGGATGGAACAAATGTCTCATCTCCGAAAGAGCTTAGAATTGAGCAGATGTTCAAAATAACAGGACCATGCATTTTGTTTAGTTACATGTCAAAGTTCGTGGTGCAGGGTAAACTCTGAAGTTCATATAAATCCACCTAAGGACAGGCTTGTAGTAAAAGTAACAAATGAGCCTAGGACAAAAAATAAAGTGAAAATACATGGGTGAAAGAGGCCACTTTAGCCAGATTCTGAAAGACATAGAGTATTTGCTTGATGGCATTAATAAGTCAGGCATGTACAACAGCAAGAATCACTAGTGCAAAGGACCAGGGTGTCTAAATGTAGTCGGTGTAGAAGGGAACAATACAAATTAAATCTGATAGCTGGTTTAGGGAAAACAAAAGAGGGCTAAGCAGAACTCTTTTTTTTTTTTTTTTTTTTTTTTATTTTGAGACAGAGTCTTGTTGTGTCCCACAGGCTGGAGTGCAATGGTGCGACCTTGGCTCACTGTAACCTCTGCCTCCTGGGTTCAACCGACTCTCCTGCCTCAGCCACATGAGTAACTGGGATTACAGGCATGCACCACGATGCCTGGCTAATTTTGGTATTTTTAGTAGAGATGGAGTCTCACCCTGTTAGTCAGTCTGGTCTTGAACACCTGACCTTAAGTGAGCTGCCGTCCTCGGCCTCCCCAAGTGCTGGGTTACAGGCATGAGCCACCACGCCTAAGCCATAAGCAGGACTTTTGATAGACCACTATTACTATCACACGCTATAGAACTTGAGCAATATCTCTGGATAAGATGAATCATTGGAGTAGACAGTGGAGAATAATTTGGATAGTATTTCTAGATTATTTTTAGGAAAATGAGAATTTAAACAATAGTAACAACCATGGAAAGACACATGCTTAAGAAGGGAGATAATTAACAAATTGGAGAGAAAAAAATTTTTAAAGGATAGAGAAGGTCTGGTGAAAAATGACTCCATAGCTCTGAACTAAGAAAGATACAGATATCTCTGATTGGGATATAAAAATAGAAATGGAGAGTATGGGGTGGGCTGGAGTAGGCAATGAGCTCAAATGAATTTGGTTTTTGAAAGGTTAGGTGTTACTGTGGGGCATCTGAGAGAAGAGATCCTATGGCAAATTAAGGCAAGATCCTGGACAGATCTTGGGACATCTAGTTGGAGATGTACAGTTTTGGAAATCATAGGGATTTGGGTCAAAAATGAAACCATTAAAGAAGTAAATACAGAATACGAGAGTCTTAAAGACTATCTGCAGTTAGTAGGTTAGGAAAACAAGAACAAAAAGAGAGTATTTTATTATATAGACTACAGTGATAACTTTTATGTGGAATCAAATGTATTTCCAATTTCTCAGGACTCAAAAATCTCTACAAGATGAGTAAAGGGGGAATAAAAGGATCAAAAATTACCTTATACTGCTCTAAGAAGTTATTGTATACTTTTTTCAACATTGAGACTTTCTCTTGATCCTTTAGCTAATATTAACCTTTCCTGTAAATAAAATTTTGTAGATGGATTGCCATTTAACTTGACCACAAAGATAAATGTGTTTAAATGATGATAAGCTTTTTGGGAACAGAGACTTAGTATTTGCTGCATCTATACAAAGTATTATACAACACCACACTCCATCTACATGACAAATAACAAATTAGAATATTAACACTGTTATTTAGCCAAATTCCCTAAAGTATGTAGGAGTAAACTCAGATTTGGAAATACTATTATTAATTATAAGATATTTTTGCCAAAAATCGCAACTAGAGGTTGAACAGTTATATTCCTATTGGGTCTATAATCTGTACTGGCAGCTCTTTGCTCCTACATAGGCAATTTTCAAGTCCCTTACTTGAAAGAGTCCCTGTTCATTAGACAAAGGGCTGGAGCAGAGGTCTGCATGTGTAAGATGCTGACTTGCAGTACACATCAAATGCACATCAACCACAAAAATTTAATGAATCACTTTCTTGCCTGCCCTTGACCTTGCCAAGAATGCTATGTGTGCACAAATCAAGAAACCTGTGAGACCATATGCTGTGGGTCAGCCTTTGACCAGTTTTCCCCATCCAGCTGTCACTCTGAAAGCAACATCACATACACACACATTTTTTATACACAGGCAATTGTCCTGAATTTTGGCCATAGGGGAAGCTTGCTGAGAAACAGTGTTTTGGAGTTAAGTTAGTTTTCTGATTTCAAACATGGAATTTGAAAGTTATTAGTACTTTTAAAAACCATCTTTCTCCATTTATGTTGCCTAATTTTAATATTTAAAATTATAAGTAATAGTCATGTAATAAAATCAATAACAATACTATAGATGCATAATAAAAGTATCTGTTTCTCTATTTCTAGAGGTTATCAGTATTATATGTTTCTTTTTAAGTTTCTTTCTTTCTTTTTTTTTTTTTTTGAGATGGAGTTTCACTCTTGCTGCCCAGGCTGGAGTACAATAGCACGACCTCAGTTCACTGCAACCTCTGCCTACTGGGTTCAAGTGATTCTCCTGCCTCAGCCTCCCAAGTAGCTGGGATTACAGGCACCTGCCACCATACTCAGCTAGTTTTTGCATTTTTAATAGAGACAGGGTTTCACCATGTTGGCCAGGCTGTTCTTAAACTCCTGACCTCAGGTGATCCACCTGTCTTGGCCTCCTAAATTGCTGGGATTACGAGCGTGAGCCACCATGCTCTGCTGTATTATAAGTTTCTTTTATATCCTTCCATAAATTTTGTATGCTTAAAAACAAATATGGTAAAATATAATTTTTGTGAAATAAAATCACATTGTTCTCACAATTCTTCTTTGCATATAGGTAGCAACAAATCCTAGAAACTTTTGTTTACAAATACATATAAGCTTTCCTCAGTGTTTTTAAGTCATATGTAATATTTTACTTCATAGATGACTAGTTTTTACTTCATCAGCCCCCTACAAATAGGTTTTTTAAATTATGCAATTTTCTGCTTATTTTTCTCATCACAAGCAATTCTCTAACCTTAATTTTTGTGTACCTTTGCATTGTTTTCTGATAATATATGTGGATATAAATGTATCAAAACATCACATTGTACTCCATAAATATTTATAATTATTTGTCAATTAAAAAAATGAAACAAAAAATACTGGACAGAAAAGTCCTCTCTTATGTTTTATGTATAAAAAAACAACATGGTAGAGTTAAAAGATCATTGACCTTGCAGTCACATTAACCTAGATTTGAATCCTAATACAGTCTCTTACTTTATTTATTTATTATTTTTTTGAGTCAGAGTCTCACTCTGTCACCCAGGCTGGAGTGTAGTGATGCCTCCTGGGCTCAGGTGAATCTCATGCCTCAGTATCCCAAGTAGCTGGGATTGCAGGCATGCAACACCATGCCCGGCTAATTCTTGTATTTTTAGTAGAGAAGGGGTTTTGCCATGTTGGCCAGGCTGGTCTTGAATTCCTGCCTCAAGTGATTCACCTGCCTCGGCCTCCCAAAGTGCTTGGAATACAGGCATGAGCCACTACATCTGGTCGTAGTATAGTCACTTACTTTTTGATATGTCTTTGGGCACAATAACTTCTCTGATCTCAGATTTTCTCTTTGTAAAAAGATGACAAGTCCTGCACAATTAAGATTTTCAGAAGTGGAAATATACTGGCTAGATCATCCTTGGCTTGTATTCTTGTATTTTAACAGCCAGTATCTAGACAGTCTATTTTCAGGTAACACACATTAAAAGACAACATAAATTTTCTAAAACATGTAGCTAAGAAAAGAAGTCAGAGGAGAAAAAAAGAGGGAAAAAGAACAATGTTTTAGTACAGATATTGAAGTCAGAATTGGACTAGTTATCTAATCCTATAAATTCCTAATTAAGTGTTTTCTCAATTAATTTTGTTTAAGTTTTTTAGTTTTCTTTTTATAAGCTCTCCTTTCCCACTGATTGTGAGGGTGTCTTCACCTTACATCTGGTCCATGTGATGCAATGACTAAGAAACTATTGGCAAAGTCCTTATAAACAATTAAAAGAAGTCCTGGCAAAACATGACTATTTTGTTTCCCTGTCTGTTGTCCCTTCTAACTGGGGGAATGTTGAGGACAATGCTTATCCATGACAGCATTTATTGTTTGAGGGGGAATTCAATGGTGGCCATGGATGATATAATACACTCTTCATCAATACCCATATTTTGTGAACATGTATGGAGACTGGATGATTACTAAGTCATTCGCCCTTTTCCGAAGTTACCTTTTTAAAATTTCAACTCACAATCACACTTTTGCATTTTTCTAACAGATGTTACCATCGTCTTGTATATATTGACAATGGCCTTATAAATTAGGCAAAATTAGGAATAATTAACTCTGTATTTTGAAGGGTTGAGGAAATTAAGCTTTAGAGGCATTAGTCAATCTGCCTGTACCTTCCAACTCCAAGTTCACTGTTCTTGCCACTATACCACACTGAATGCCACTCTATTTTAATACAAAGATCATCTAGGCAGTGTATTTTCTTCTTCTGTGTCTTAGCTCTTTCAGAAGAAAAAAAAAGCTTTTTCAGATACTTTCATTGATGTCCTATTGAATATAATACAAGCTATTCTGCATAAGATATCAAACTTCTCCTTCAGTTATTCCAACCTATATGAACAGCCTCATCTCTATTATCTGTGAGCTCCAGGACCATCACATCATAATCTTGTTCCTTAAATACATCATAAACTTCTTCACTACCTTGCCTTCCCCATTGTCTTTCCTTCAACTTAGAGGGCTTGTTTTCAATTATTCACCCACGTTAATTATATTCCGCACTCTAAGTAAATCAGATGACAATGTCTTGACTAAGTTCTTCCTGATTTCCATAGTCACAATGAATCACTCTCGCATAAAGAAAAACAAATGTAGATATACCTACAGTAAACTCACATATTCTTCCCTCTTATTAAAATTACTTATTTATATTTTGCTCCCTTGAGTCACTATAAGCAATTTATGAGAAAAATTTTATCTATTTTCCACAGGAATCAAGCATGCACCTGGGTATATTTGCCATTCCCTCCAGCTGGTGTGCCCTTCCTCACTATTCTAACCAATATTCAAGGCACACCTTTATACCACCTTCTATATGAAACCTTTTCTGAATCTCTTTAGGAGGACCTACATCATTCTCTTTTGAACTCCAATACCACTTTATAGCAATTACTTCTTTCTTATGTTACAGTGGTTTAAGTGTATTTTTATTCCTCCAAAAGATTTTTACCCCCATGTGGGCATGGACTGCACCTATTTTGTTTACCACTGTATGCTGTATCCTTTGAGTTCAATGCATAGGATGTGCTCAAACAACATTTGTTGTATATATAGAGAAATGTATAATCTTCTTGTTAATACCATCTATGTTTATATCTAATAATTTTTTAATCTCTCACAGTTACTTTTAGAAAGAATTCAATAGGTATTATTTCAAAATCTATGCAATTGTCATTTTTTAGGTCACAAACAGTTGAGTACCAGAAATTTTTTTTTGACCTAAAAGTAATAGAGTAAGTGAAATGATGGCTAAATAAATGAATGAAAACTCCCCAAAGTTACAAATCATGGCATGCCTGCATTAATCACATACATAAATATGATTTCATTTGATGGAAAGTCATTGGGAGGTCAAGAAGGGAGAATCTAAATTAAAATATGTCACTCCTTCACATGGAGAAAAATGCATTTTCGGTACATCATTTACTGCAGGGAGGACTAATACAGACTACACATCCACCAGGCTTTTCTTCCCCAACATATTCATTTTCCTCTGTGCTCACTGAAATAAAAAATACCTGTACCTGAGTAAATCAACAAGCTTGCATCTTCTTCTGTCCTTCCCTAGTGAGAATTCCAGCTACATTCCATTGTCAGAACTGTGCAAGTGCAGCCAGGCTAATCACAACTGCTGAGGCATCAGACTCCTGCACACATTAGGAGATGTCCTTATTGTAAAATTATATAAGACCAAAATTATCTTATGGGGTTGTTTTGACTACTGGTTTCAGTGCTTTCAAGGAAGCCAGTTTAGTTGATTTCCTGCTACACAGTGGGTATTTAATAAATGGTAATTTTAAAAAAAAACAAAACCAGTCTGGTTCACTTACACATGATTTAATATTTTCCTGGACTGAGAACAGGGGTCCACATATACTGAATGGAGAGAAATGCTGCTGAAACCAGAGCATTTAATAAAACACCCAGAAATTGGACATAATTCTTAGGAGGTTAGAATAAGCAAAAAAAAAAGATAAGGAAGAGGAGGATAAGGAGGAAGAAAAGAAAGAGGAAAAGAAAGCCATTATTTCTTTAACCCTTAATGTGTACCAGGAACTTTCAAAGTCCCTTGCATGTATTGAACATTGTAGAATAAAGTAGAATAAACATTTCAGAATAGAAAGTAAATGAAAAGACATAGAAAATGTGAGAAAAAACAGAAATTTAAGCATTATCCCTTGAAGATAAATATCCAAATAATAGGAGTTGCCAAAACTGTGAAGAATACATATGGGAAGAAGAAACGATCAAAGTGATAACTTAATAAAAATTCCCAGAAGTAAAGTCTATTAGTTTCCAAATTTAGAGGACACTGACATTGCCCATCACAGTGGTTGAAGAAAGGCTCATACCAAGGAACATCTTTGTGAATTTCAAATGTTGGAGCAAAAGAAAATCTTAAAAACCTTGCAAGAGAAAAGGCAATGCAAAAAGGATTCATGATTATCATGGCAGTGTAATTTAATAAAATTCTATAATTAGGGTAAATGGATCACTATCTGCAAAATTCTAAAGGAAAAGGAAGATGGATTTCAACCTATGATTTGATAACCAGGCAAGCTACCAGTTAAGTACTTAATATTTCTGTAATATTTGCTATGTGACAGGTACTGTTGAAAACAGGCTACATATATTAACATATTTAATTCATCAACAGTCCTAAGCAGTTACTATCGTTATTTTTCTTATTTCACATATGAGGAAATGGAGGCACAAAAAGATTAAGTAATGTGTCCCCAAGTCATATCAAATGCTATATGAGAGGACCAGGGTTTACAAACCTACAAGCTTGGTCCAAACATGAGAGCCTGCCCCTTAACTGAAAGTAAACAGCTAGCCAAACAAAGAAACATGGCTTAGATCAGTTGTGATTTTTGTGCTAAACCTAAAACCCTTAACTATTATCAATTCCATTACTATGTCCCAGAAATTGGTTCAATAAAATGCATCATCTAACTTAATCCATTGAGAATAAGGAAAAGTCTTCTCTATCTCCCAAACTTTTAAAATAATTAAAAATTGTCTATATGGTCATTTTTTTTAATATTTAATTTTTAATTAATTAATGAATTTATTTATTTTTTTGAGAAAGAGTCTCGCTCTGTCACCCAGATGGGGTTTCACCGTCTCTACTAAAAGGATGGTCTCGATCTCCTGACCTCGTGGTCCACCCGCCTCGGCCTCCCAAAGTGCTGGGATTACAGGCGTGAGCCACCACGCCCGGCCTAATTTTTAATTTTTATGAGTACATAGTAGGTATATATTTATGGGGTACATGAGATATTTTGATACAGGCATGCAATGCATAATAATCACATAATGGAGAATGGACTATCTATCCACTCAAGCATTTATCCTTTGTGTTACAAACAATCCAATTGTACTTTTTTAGATATTTTTAAATGTACAATTAAATTATTATTGACTATAGTCACTCTGTTGTACTATCAAATACTTGGTCTTATTCATTCTTACTGCTGCCTAAAAATCAAATAATTAAAATTTTGTTTGAATTATTATATAAATGGTTTTCTATTTTTCCTTCTCTTTTGAGGGAAGGATCTTTTACTAATTTTAGTAAAAATGGCCCTTTTCCTAATTTTACTAAAAATACCAATCTTCTCATAGACTCCCCTTGCTTATAAATGGAGTCTCATAGATTCCACATCCTTACACCAATCTTCTCATAGGCTCCATTTGCTTACAAATTTGATAGCTGTATCTATATACTGAGCTCATTCTTACCCTAAATTAAAATGCAAAAATATTCACTAGAATAAGAAATACATCCGTAGAATAAGAATATTTCTAGAGCCTTGGTTTAAAAATATGCTTTCAAGAAATTTGACTTTTCCTATGACCCAAATATTCTTTAAGCTCCTCACTTCCCTGGGATGTGCACCACCTAATTGAAGTAGTTTCATAACCACAGCATTCCGCACGTGTTTAATGACACAAGTAGCACATCAGTCACTTGGCTAATAAGCCTTCTCTGAAGCCTGTGGAAACAGAGGAAAATGCTCCCTTTATTCTTCCACTGTGTATTACGTTCCCCAAGCATGTATTATTATTATTCTTATTACCCAGTTGAACTAGTCTAATTTGCAGTTGGATAAATCATAAGCCAGTTGATTCTCAAGCCTCCCAAGTTATTACTTTACTTCATCCAAAGATTTTACAGCAGAGAACACTGGGGATATTCCAGATGACTTGAAATTATTTTTTTTTCTCACTCTCTAAAGCTATAAAAGTGCAAAAACTCTTATGTAGAGAAACATTTCCATAAATAATTAGTACTCCATTGCATTGGTCAAAAGAAATGCTTAAAGTAATCCATAAAAAGGAAAAATTAACTCATTGGATGGGGCTGGGTTTTTTAGATATTGGAATACATTGATTCCTAAATGGATCTTTGGAGTGTACATTTCTTGGCTTGGCCACCCAGTGTCCAGCTCACCTTTCTATAATGATAATATTTTAATTGAGTGAGAAGTATAAAACCTATCCCTCCATGCTACAAGGAATGCTTTGGTTACTTCATGTCCAACAATGAAGCCTGAGCCTAAGCTGATATTCAATTCCATTACTATGTCCCAGAAATTGAATCAATGAAATTTACATCACCTAACTTACTCCCTTGAGAAAAAGGATGTTTGCTGAGTGGCTGAGATTAGGGATCATGCAGATTTAGGATCCTATGGCAGCTATCTTGGGCCAAAGACAGAAAAAGTGGGCTGACAGTAAAGCAGACTCTAAAACTAAATCTCAAAAGTGGAAAAGGGGGAGGAAAACTTGTTCTAGTCCTACCACTTGACCAATTGGACAAATCGTCACTTACAGTCAAATTGCCCTCTGGAATTTTCAATTGTGACAGCCATTCATTGTTTAAACCAGATTGATTTGAGTCACTTTTCTTTTTTTTGTAAATAAACATATCTTAATACTCTATTTTTATGCAGTTCTGAGACTATGTAAATATTCTAGTGATAGACATATCTATACAAAATAAATTAACCCTGGGTGTACTAAACACTAGTTTCAAGAGTGTGACGATAAGTAAGACATTATCTCCACCTTCAACCTACAGTAAAGTTCTCTTCCCAAGTCTCTTGTTGACACTAGGGAGTCTTGTTCTTCACTTTCTTATATTAACTGCACAAAAAAACACAGATATATCTGTTATGATTCTAGTTCTCAGGCAAGCAGTATTCAATTTTAGTATTAATCACTATTGGTAAACAGCTTCAGAGATGTAAAGAGTATGGTGTTTATAAGACCATCACATTCATTCTATTTATGTAGGTATGACTCAGAAAAAAAAATAGGGTTTCATAATGTTCATCAAGAAAGAGCATGGTCCTAGGACTCAGCAGATTTCTTGTTGTTCTGTCCTTGCCTTTTGAGTACAACAATGGAACTGCTGGGAAAATCAGTGTCCTACAAAGGAATTTAATTACTCCAAATGGCCCCTAATGTCCCACCCAGCTTCAGTAGTATATAGTTTTGCTACGTATAATTTCTAAATGCATACACTGAAACCTTCATTTTTATAAAATTTTAAAAAATGTTACGACTGTTGTCATTATCTAATGCTGTGTGACAAACCACCTCAAAATTTAGTGGCCTTAAAAAATTTAGGCCACTTGAAGGCTGAGATTAGAATTATCTGAAGGATTATTTGCTCATATGTCTGGAGCTTGGGATGAGAAGGCTCAAATAGCAGAGAGACAGAAGAGCTAGGGTTCCTTGGATTTTCCTTCTCTTCATGTCTGTCTCCATCTATCTGTCCATGTCCATGTCCACGTCCATCTGTACCTCCAGCTTTATTTGTAGCTCTAGCTGTATCATCTCTATTGCTGGTCTGTCTGCTATGGCAGCTCAGAGCTGCTGGGGCAAACGCCCCAAGAGGGAGACAAGCAGAAGCTACATAACTTTTTAGGACTTAACCTCTGAAGCCATGCAGCACCACATCCACTATAATCCACAAGAATCGGGACAGTCACAATGACCCCCTCCTTTTCCAAGAGAGGGGAAACAAAACCTGCTATTGATGGAACAAAATTTTGGAAAAGTGGATAAGACCACAAATATTGTTGCAATAATTTTTGATAAATCTGCCCAAATCACAAATATATATTTACATGTGAGTCACATATCTGTGTGTATTTTGACTTAGAATATTTTACTTCATTTTAGTCCCAGAAATGTATACATCTGCTTACTACATCTACTATTAGAATCTATCAGTATTTCTCAAAAACATACCACTATGCAGGCAGGAAGAAAGGCATATTCCTGATGTCTGCTAGGAGACAGCGTATAGCCAGTCTTGAATTAAAAATGTTCTTGCATAATCTACATTCTAGAAAATTAAGAGGAGAGAGTTTTTGCATTTGTGAGAGTTGAGTAGGATTAAAAAAAAACTGCTCTACTTTTTTTCTCAAATTCATCAAAGAGAGCTACATTTATATTATATTTTTAATGACCCAAGTGCATGCTTTCTTTTGATTTTCTCTTCATCCCTTTAAGAAAACTGGATATGGTTGTTTTCAAAATATACAGCTAACTTTCAGGGCACCTCACTCCAACTTCAGTCAACTTTTACTCCTCACCCCCACACAGTTTTTTCCAATAGACTGATAAGTTGTCAATAATAAAAGTCAATTTCATAGTTGGTCAGAGATACATTTCAACAGGTTCAGAAGACAGAGACACTTAATTTTCACACTGTACCCTGTTGGTGCTACTAGTCCTGCGACAGGCTTCAAGGGACATCTCTCACCTGTCAGTTTTTATTGTCATCCCCAGACCCTGTAATAGTAGGTCTAACCATGAAGACAGAGGGAAACAAACAAACCGTGAGCACACCAGTTGTTTCTTTATTTCATCTTCACTGATCCCTCTCTCTCATTATTGATGGAAACAGCTTTACTCCAACATTGACCTTGTTGTGTAAAGGACAACTAAGTTGTATATTGTCAAACTCTTTCTGACAGAACAGAAGCCTTGAAGACTGTGCCATTCCTTTCTGTGACACAATTAAAGTCTGCTGTTCAGAGGAGCAAATGGAGCTGTCATCCAAAGCAGTAAATACTATGAAACTAGCAGGCATTGCAGTTTTCTGCACGGATTTTAGTATTCCATTTGAACCTTTGGTTTTAAGATACAGCATCTCATGCTTAGAGTAATTCAACATTCAGATCTCAACTTTGCCAGCATATGGCGAGAAAATCAACATGCTATTCTAATTGTATGGGATCTTAAGACAAAGCTTTGATTTAGATATTATATTGCTGGATACCACATTCAACAGGACTGATAAGCACCTTTGCTCTTAACTCTGCCAGGGTGCAGTAGCCTAGAATTCCATGCCTGGGAATAATATTTTTGATTATTTTGGAAAAAAATTACATCAGGTACATCTGGATCTGAACCCTCTTTCTGCTAATTACCAGTTTTTTTATCATGAGCAAGTGACTTAATAACCTGTGTCTTGGCTTCCTTATTTGTAAAATGGGAAGAATAATAGCTATATGTAAATGTGCTTCTGAGAATGCTCACTAAACAATAATAGATGATACAAGAGTAAGAAATGTAGTAAAATTATAAATTATATTGTGTATCCTATAGTATATATAATCTGATATTTTATATTATCATAATTATCATTACTGTTTCCATTATTATGACTATTTCTAGACTGCTAAAATTATACTTTCTATCTTGATTTTGATTGATAATAAAATTATATGATAATGATAAATTCATCAGCACTTTCAGAAATACATGTTCTCCACCCCTACTTATTTATTAATGCTTTAAGCATTCCTTTCTGTGTCTAACCTTCCTATACCTATTACTCAAGTCAGCCAGAGTTCTTGCTCTCAATTCTGAACTCTCACTATATCTGAAGTAATTCAATTGTAGCACTTACACATTCTATATTTTTGTTTTACTATTTATATTTTATTTTCTTCTCTCTTTCTCTCTCCTGTTATAAAGTAAAGGGTGCTCTCTGTCTCCCCTGCCTTCTCCTCTGCACAACGGAGCACAGCTGGAAAAATTCATGGAACTGCCCTGACTTGCCTCACTTAAAATGCATGACCACCAAGGTCAAGGGAGACCCAGTACCGCCGGTCAATCCTATATTTCTGATCCTTTCACTTTTTAAATAGCTGTTTCATACTTTCTCTCTTCTCATCAAATTTCCAAAGTCTCTTTCTTCAGCATCTCAGCTAATAACTTGCTTTCTCTCTGACTAAACAGAGGATTGATGAAAAATAGTGTTTCTGAGTTCTCATCACATATCTACATGCATCTGAGCCCTATTCTACCTTTCTTCCTGTGGGTGTGTCAATTTGTCTGTATACCTAATGCCAAACTTTTCACTTATTTGTCTTTTTAATCACTACCCAACCTCTCTCCCCTCTCCTGGGACTTAGCTTCAGCAGTTATTCCTCTCTGATGCTCACTGGTTCTTCCTTTTCTGCTGGACAATTCCCATCAGTGTACAAACATCCAGTTAAAATTCTGTCTTTGAAAAAAATCCCTCTCCAGACTTCACTGTCTTCCAACAACCATCTCAATTCTCTGCTTCCCTTTACAGTAAAACTTCTCAAAATAGTTTACTGTGTTTTCTACCTGCACCTAATTCTCTCTCCATTTCAACCTGGCTTCCTTCTCCACTATGCTGCTGAACTGCTCTTGTCAAAATCAAGAATGAACTGCATAGAGATAAGCATCTGACACGTTCTCTGTCTCCTACTTTTTATACTTGACCTGGGAAGATCCTACTTCAAGGCCCTTTGGATTGCATTCTCCTTTGCCTGTGCCTATTTTTCACACAGATATCACTATTTCTCAATATTATTTGTCATATTTTTGTTCAAACTTTTTTCACTGTAGTTTTCTTAATTATACTTAAAAATTTCTACATCTCCCCACCTCTGTGTCCTACCTATATCCCTCCCCTGCTGCATTTTTTTCTATAGAACTTTTTGCTGTAAGTAGATATTCTACTCATTCATTTACTGTCTGTTTCCCCTCCTCCACACAGAAAAAAAATAGCCTCATAAGGAAAGCAACGTATTGTTTGTTTCACTATTGAAACTTCAGCACCTAGAATTATGTTGACATGTTGCACGTGCTCACTCAACTGTATATTTTGAATAAATTTATTAATTTATTGTCTCTATATTGCCAGATCCTGGCATCATGCCTTACAAAGTGCAGACTCTCAGTAAATGGTGGTTGTTATTAAATTTCTTAAGGTTTGCTTATACTATTCTCCCTGAAATAGGAAGACCTCATTTTGACTTTCATTTTATTTCCAAGACTTATATGACTTTTAGTACTCTAAGAGATTGAAATGTACAAAAATAATGGTTTGAAGTCATAACACTGTTCAAAATAGAGGCATAAATTACTCTTTCTTTACTCCACATCCTTTCCTATTGCTTCATTTAGGCATTTTCCTCACAGCAAATATTTTTAAAACCTTTGTCTCTATTTATTACCTCCATTCCCTGACTTCCTTGTTGTTTGTTTTTTTATTAGACTTTGTATGGATTTCCAACTCAACCAGTTTACTCAAATCACTATTGTTCAGGTTACCAGTGACCTTGGTGTGGATAAATCCAATGTTTCTATATCTTCCATTATCTAATTGACCTTGCAGCAAAAATTGAGACACATGAATACTTGCTCCTTGTGGAAATACAGTCTTTTCTTGACTTCTGTGTCACCATGGTTCTCTCAGCTATTTCACCAGCAATATCTCAGTTGCCTTGGTTATCTCCTTCTCTGTTTAAGTTATGAATGTAGGAGTACCCCAACACTGGGGGAAGCCCTCATCAGTTTTTTATCTAAACTTTCTTCCAAGATGATCTTATTTTGTCCAATAGTTTTAAATAACATCTGTAAGCTAATAACCAAATTTTTAACTTCAGTCCTGATCTTTCTCTTGAGGTTAGACTCATTTTTAAACACGGTGTCTTGCATTGGATGTCTAATAACATTTCAAGATGAGTGTATCTCAGATGGTACTCTTGGTATCTTACCTCCCATTTCTGCAAATTGCTCCTTCCATTCCCTTCTTCAAATCAGAAAAGGGCACCAACATCTATCTGAGGGCTTGCACCAAATACTTAACGGTTAAATCTTAATTCTTCTATTACTATCACCCCTACTCCTAATTAATTAACATGTCTTTTTGGTTTGGTGCCCAAAATATATCCACCAACTTTCGTCAATTCCATTGTCACAATTGTTGTTCACTACTGGGGCCTGCTAAATGATCTGCCTGTACCCACATAACCCTTTACAGTCCAGAATACTTTTTTCCAAAAATTTATATCCAATACTAACATTTTCTTGCTTTAAGTTTTCCAATGTCTTCCAGTGTCACTTAGAATAAAATTCAAACTCTTCCCATGTTCTGCAAAGCCCTGCATAATCAGACCTCTGTCTTTCTCTCCAAACTTGTACTCTGCATTCCAGAAATCCTGGAGATCTTTTAATTCCTTGAGCATGGCACTTTGATTCTCTCCTATGGATGTTTAATTGTGTTCTTCCTTCATCTGGAAGATATTTCTCAAGCTTTCTTTTTCTTTTTTTTCCTTTAATGTCTGACTCTTTTCTTCACACAGATCTCACTTCAAATGTGACCTTCTAAAAGAGGCCCTCTCCAACTCCACTATCTAAAGTACTAATCACTATTATAATTTCTTACTTTATTTCCTCCATAGCACCTAAGATTATGTGAATTAATTATGTTGATTGTACCTCAAGCTTATTATATTTAATAACTGATAAACTGTGCTTGTACAAGAACATAAGTACCTTGAGGACAGGAACATTATGTATCCTGTTCACAGCTGTTTCCTAAGAGCCTGGTACAGTGCATGCCAGAGGGAAGCTATCAATAAATATATTTGAATTAATATATAAATGGCATCTACTCTTTTTTTTGAGATGGATTCTCTCTCTGTCAGCCAGACTAGAGTGCAGTGGTGTTACCTCAGCTCACTGCAACCTCTGCCTCCTGGATTCAAGCAATTCTCCTGCCTCAGCCTTCTGAGTAGCTGGGACTACAGGCACACACCACCATGCCCAGCTAATTTTTTATATTTTAGTAGAGAAGGGTTTCACCATGTTGCCCAAGCTGGTCTCAAACTCTGAGCTCAAGCAATATGCCTGCCTCAGCCTCCCAAAGTGCTGGGATTACAGGCATGAGCCATCACACCCGGCCAAATGGCATCTACTTTAGGCAGGCTGCTCCCTTGGGTTGTCCTTGTATGTGAGGTAGAGAGGATCATTCATGGGTTTCAATGTCCTTATATGTGAGATAGGGAGGATAATAGCAACTCTGCCAGGATGCCAAGAAGATCAGATATATAGAAATCAATGGCCCTTTCAGAATGCAGCCATTATTATTAATGAGACTTAGTTTAATTCCAACCTTCATGCACCTTTTCCCTATTATTTCACTTATCATCCTTCTCTCTAATTGCTATTGCATTGTAAGTACTGCCCAGTTTAACATGTAATTGTCTGTAATTTTTGTTAGCTTATGTTACAACCTCCCAAAGATTATTAAATTCAGTAAATGTCAAATGTAGTGGAAAAGGAGATGCTTATTTCTATTATTAATCCTAATTTGTAGGAACAGACTGTAGTAGAAAGCACATGGGTTTTCAAATCACATATAACTAGGTTTCCATCCTGATTTAGCAACTCTCACTTGTTATGTGACTTAGGCCTCTGACTGATACACAGTCTTCTCCTTTATAGAATGCAGACAGTTATATACATCTTGTGAATGTATCAGCAGATTATGTTTGCCCAATAAATAACAGCAATGGTATTAATAATAGAAATGATAATAAAATGATAGTGATAATATTTGATAAATTCGGCTTTAGAAAAGAAACTTGGCCCTCAATGTAACCATTGCTTTTGGTTCTCTATGTTAAAATATAAGATTCTTAATGATTTCCAAAAGCCTGCCCTGGAGCATTTAAGAGATATTATGTAATATTCTTCTCAAACATAAAAATAAGAATAGGAAAGATATTTGCCCTAAGCTCTAAGCCACAAAAATGAAAATGTGATAAGATATCATATAGGAAAAATAGACTCTAATGGCATACATCCCAGTATAGAATTTAATTTTCATTTATCCTAAAAGCAGCTTCTGTGGATAATGGAAAATTGTAATTTTTAACATTAGAATAATCAAAGAGTAAGGCACCAAAAGGCAAGAGAAACCTTCGGTTACCTATTTGTTTATAACACATCTGCAAAACATTTGGATAAAAAAAGAGAAGTGAGCAAGTGAATCTGAAAGAGAAACAAATTATAGAAGTCCCTAGATTCTAGAAAAAGGGAGAGAAAGTGGAAAAAAAATACATGATGATATACAGTGCATTTCTTCACATTAACATCTTGAAATACATGATTTGAATTTTAAAGTTCTATAAAATTCCCCAATTTTCTTAAGATCTCTGACTTGATCATTTCATGCAAGGTTGAGTTTGCTCAGTATGTACAGTTACAAAATGATGCCAGAATAAAATCTAATTGCCCAGGTTACCCCAGCAAATTTTGGAACCCATAGCAGAATTCCTTCTTTCTTATATTACAGTACATGCCTGTATTAGTCTGTTCTCATGCTGCTAATAAAGACATACCTGAGACTGGATAATTTATAAAGGAAAGAGGTTTAATTGACTCACAGTTTCATGTGGCTGGAGGGGCCTCATAATCATGGCGGAAGGCAAAGGAGGAGCAAAGACATGTCTTACATGGCAGCAGGGCAGAGAGCTTGTGCAGGGGAACTCCCATTTATAAAACCATCAGATCTTGTAAGGCTTATTAATTATTACAGTAACATTATGGGGAAAACTGCCCCATGATTCAATTATCTATACCTGGCTCCACCCTTGACATGTGGGGATTATTACAATTCAAGATGAGATTTGGGTGGGGACACAGCCAAACCACATCATTCCACCCTGGCCCCTCCCAAATCTCATGTTCTCACATTTCAAAACCAATCATGCCTTCCCAATAGTCCCCAAAGTCTTAACTTATTTCAGCATTAACTTAAGAGTCCACAGTCCAATGTCTCATCTGCCTATGATCCTGTAAAATCAAAAGCACGATAGTTACTTACTAGATACAATGAGGGTATCAGCATTGGATAAATGCACCCATTCCAAATGGGAGAAACTGGCAAAACGAAGGGGCTACTGGCCCCACACAAGTCCAAAATCAAATAGGACAGTCATTAAACCTTAATAATGTTCCAAATAATTGGACAGTTCCAAAATAATCTGCTTTGACTCCATATCTCATATCCAGGGCATGTTGATGCAAGAGGTGGTCACCCATGACTTTGGACAGATCCACCCCTGTGGCTTTGCAGGGTAGAGCCCTTCTCCTGGCTGCTTTCACAGGCTAGCATTGAGTCAGCGTCTTTTCCAGGTGCACAGTGCAAGCTGTCAGTGGCCCTCTTCTCACGGTTCCACTAGGCAGTTTCTCCATTGCAACTCTGTGTGGGGGCTCCAACCCCACATTTCCCTTCTGCCCTGACCTATCAGAGGTTCTCTATGAGGGCTCCACTCCTGCAGCAAGTTGCTGCCTGAACATTCAGGCATTTCCATACATCTTCTGAAATCTAGGTGGAGGTTCCCAAACCTCAATTCTTGACTTCTGTGTAGCAGCAATATGGTCAATACCACATCAAAGCTGCCAAGGCTTGAGGCTTGCACCCTCTGAAGCCATGGCTTGAGCTGTACCTTGGCTCCTTTTAGCCATGGCTAGAATGGCTGGGACGCAGGGCACCAAGTCCCTACACTGCACACAGTAGGGGGACCCTGGACTTGACCCATGAAACCATTTTTCCCTCCTATGCCTCCATGCCTGTGATGGGAGGGGCTGCTGCAAAGGTCTCTGACATGCCCTGGAGACATTTTCTCCATTGTCTTGGTGATTCACATTTGGTTCCTTGTTCCTTGTGCAAATTTCTGCAGCAGGCTTGAATTTCTCCCCAGAAAATGGGTTTTTTCTTTTCTATTGCATTGTCATCTGCAAATTTTTCAGACTTTTATGCTCTGCTTCATCTCGAATGCTTTGCCACTTAGAAATTTCTTCTGCCAGATACCCTAAATCATCTCTCTCAAGCTCAAAGTTTTACAAATCTCTAGGGCAGGGGCAAAATGCCACCAGTCTCTTTGCTAAAACATAGCAAAAGTGACATTTACTCCAGTTCCCAACAAGTTCCTCATTTCCATCTGAGACCACTTCAACCTGTACTTCATTGTCTATAATACTATCAGCACTTTGGTCAAAGCTATTCAACAATCTTTAGGAAGTTCCAAACATTCCCATATTTTTCTGTCCTCTTCTGAGAACTCCAAACTGTTCCATCCTCTGCCTGTTACCCAGTTCCAAAGTCGCTTCCACATTTTTGGGTATCTTTCCAGTAGCACACACTCTAATAGGACCAATTTACTGTATTAGTCCATTCTCACACTGCTAACAAAGACATACACAAGACTTGGTAATTTATAAAGGAAAGAGGTTTAACTGACTCACAGTTTCAGATGACTGGGGAGACCTCACTCTCATGGCACAAGGTGAATGAGGAGCGAAGTCATGTCTTACATGGTGGCAGTCAAGAGAGCATGTGTAGGGGACCTCCCTTTACAAAACCATCAGATTTTGTGAGACTTATTCACTATCGTAAGAACAGCACAGGAAAAACTTGCCCCTTAATTCAATTACCACTCACCAGGTCCCTCCCACAACATGTGGGGATTATGGGAGCTACAATTTAAGATGAGATTTGGGTGGGCCACAGCCAAACCATATCAATACCCTTCCCTCAGACCTTATTTACCAAAACACATTTGATAGATACTCCATTCCAATTCTCTTTTGAAGTCAGTAATTTTTTACCTTGCAGGTCTTGGATGATTTTCTCAAGAGCCCTGATTGCTCTCCATGGGAAGTCACCTTATTCTACCACCCATACTTTTAAAAAATTTCCTTTGTGGCTCCTTTTTTGCTGCCTCTTCCATGAGCTGATAATTTATGGCATATGTCCTTCCCAAGGAGCACCAGTCTCATTAAAATTGACTCCTGTTGTTACTGTTCTGTCAAATTCAGTGGGAATGCCATCAGCTCAGTGCACTGGTTGACCTGCACCTTCCTCTTTAACTCTAGTCCAACTCGTTGTCACATAAACATCAAGAAAAGGAGCTTGTTATAAAAGTGACACTTTTACCAGTGCTATATGATTATGTGTTCTAATAGAGAAATGACCTACATTTTTCCTCCTAGCATTAAAGCTAATAACTACATATCTTTCTTAATAGAATATAAGATGCTTTCTATACATGTAGTCAAAATTATTTAATGCGATTTCACGAAGTGAGTAACTGAGAAAGCAAAGAGCTAAGAGGACTTCCCCCCAGTTTGTCCTACCACTATTAAGAGGACAGAAATCAGCCACTTTTACTAAATGAGAGACCTGGGTCCACCTGGTAAAGGAGTAAGTAAAGCTCAAAGAGACCAAAGTTGAGGTTTGCTGACAGTTTATAAGTTTTACACGTATTGACTATCATGTTTCTTTTTGGGATGCAAATGGAAGATCATTAATTCTAGGCCACTAGAGGTTATCAGGAGGAACTGGGATGTAAAAGCAAAAGCTTGACAATAGCTCCACATCTGTGTGCCAACAGATTGCTGGATTTTACTCTTCACTCTCCATTGAGATCAGAGAGCAGAAAGCACAGTAGAAGGTACCCATGAGTAAATGTGAAAACCAAAACCAGCTGTCCTATCCTGTCACAGATTCACAACAGATATCCAGAGGCTCTTTGTAAACTACTCTGCCTGAAGTTTGTCTTTTTTCTTTTTTCAATTGGAGAGGAAGGTGTTATGTTGTGTGCAAAAAGCAAGAATGATAACCACTGGCTTCACACCTTGATTCATTTATAATGCATGTGTTAATAAGATAGTTACTGTGTTTTTTAGACACATTCTTATAGAGAGTATGATCATCATTAGCATCATTTAGCATTATACTCGTGGATATAATAGGACAATATGGATGATATCTACTGGCGACCAATTTCCATTGTTGGGTAAGTTTTAGAGGGCCATTTAAATGCAAATAACTGGGAGATTTCTAGGCTTAGAAAACAACTTTTAAATAACCTTAAAATTGATAAGTATATTACAACTAGTATTCTATAGGGTATTTTGATGTTTTTTAATCCTCAATCTTTTGCAAAAGATATTATATTCAGGGTTGACTCTGAAGGTCTTTAAAAGGCTTTCCACGTATAGGTAGAAGACTTGTGGTCCTATCACAATAGATATCTATAACGTAAAGACAGGTATTCCTGGATGGAACACAATGCAGAAGCTGATAAGTATGTCTCTTTTTCCATCGGAGCCTTGTCTACAATAGTTAGCTTAATCTGAAACTAGCATAATGACAGCTGTCTCTGTTCTAAGACAAATTGCAGTGGTGTAATAAATAAGGATCGAAAGCTAGAACAGCCAACCTGGTTATTCCTTTGCCTCACTCAGAAAACTTTCCTGCCAGTGTGTCTGAACTTGGCAGCAAACTGACATAATATTTATCTAACTGAAAAGAAATACAGGTGACAGCTATCTGAAATATCCCTCTCCTCAATGACTCTTTTTCATCATAATAAAATAAAAAGAGAGAGAAGAGACAGACAGACAGAGAGACTTTCTGAGACCATGATTTTTCAAGGGCTAGATATTTATATGAAGAAAGCTGAGAGTAATTAGTAGTTTTTCAGATCCTTTTAACTCATAATGATACTGGGATCTGAAGGACCCTGATAGATATGATGCGTTGCATCATAACGGTTATTCTGGCAAGACATAGTCCACCTGTCTTAGTAGAACTTAGTAGTTGATGCAAGGGTTGCATGGTTTAGTGAGAACATGTTAGCATTTTACTGGGGACATCTAGTTACTGGTCCGTAATATCCCACTCCCATCCAAATTTTGCTTCTTCTCCTGCTCTCTTTTCCTAAACGAATGACAAACATCATCCAGTAATTTGCCCAAGTCAGAAACCTGGTAATCACTTTTGAATCTTATCTCTTCCTTACATTAAAAGTTAAGTTTAACTCATCAACTTTCACCCATGCTGGCTGACTCCTCAAATGCTTACAACTCTATTTTTTCTCTTTTCTCACTGCCAGTGCCTTAGGTCAAGCCTTCACTTTTCCCTAACTTTATCATAACAATACTTATAAAGCTTCCTTCTATACTTCTATGCTTTTCTATCAGCATAACACACATTGCTGTCTGCAAATCTTTGCACACACATAAATCATGTCAGCAATTCACCCAAGTTAATTATGCCTAATGGGCTTCAGGATTTAATTGGTTTGTTTGTTTGTTTTTCCCTGAGATTATGAAAAGCTCTTTATTGAGTAGTTGCCTTGTTTAAACAAGATTTCTTAAGTGGAGTGCCTTGATCAATGCCTGACTTATAAAAACTATAAAATAAGGTTTCTTCTCTCTTCTTTCATCTTTTTCATTCATCTTTACCTATATTGTTTATATTCTAGCACTATCTTACTTAGGAAACCAAGGTTAAGATGCTTCTCCTCAGGTTACATCCATAACATCTGTGAAAATCATTCTTGTGACACAAACCATTGCACTGTAATTGTCTACTTAGTGTTTTATTCCCACTAAGGATCGCAAGTTCCTGGATGCTAAGACTTTCCCTTCCATCTTTATATATCCAATTATTGGCTCAGTGTGTGAATAGGTACCTAATAAGTTTCACTTGGTATATCTTGCAACACTAAATTGCTAAATATATCAAATAAGCTCTGGTTTATAAAAGTTAGTTGAGCTTATTTTTTAAACTGTCAGTTGTTTAATAACATAAAGTGCTATTATCATCATATCACTAATAATAAGAAAGATTAGGTTAACTCCTTTCTCCTATTTTTGTTCAGTTTCTATGATAAGGAAAAAAATGATTTACTTCCTAAAAACAAATATAAGCACATTTTTCAAAATAATTTTAAGACCAATATTCTATGCCTTCTCTTTTTAAACATATTATTTTATATCGAGATTTCATGTTGAAATACTACTCAAAAACCTTACATATCATCAGTTACCCAAGATATATCTAAATCAATAGGATACATACTAAATTAAGGAATCAGGTTCATAATTTCTAAAAGAGTTTAATTTGTATTTTGTTAACCAATTCATACCTAGCTAAATAATACTGCACCCATTTTCTTAGCCTGTCACTTCACTGAGGTCTTACTCTACACAAATAAACCATTTCACTTTTGTTACAGTGAAAGATTACAAAACAGAACAGGTAGATATAATACATATGGATAATGCCTATATATATCCTGAACCAATGACACTGAAATTTTCAGTTTTAGGAAAAATTGATGATTCATTTCCTATGAAACTTTTAAAGAAAATCTGAAAGGAAGGAGGTATCCAATGATACGTAATCCTGTTTTTTCTTTACATTAGGTTTCAAAAGTTATCTAATGGTGAAACCATTCTCAATAAAATGATTCACAAATATGTGCAGAAGAGTTGGTAGGACATCCAGATATGGGCAATTAAGAAGATAGGCAAAATACCTTCTGCAAAAACCCACTCTACAACTACACAGAATTGATGAAAATAACTAGTTCAACAATCTGGAAATAAACCAAAGTCATAAAAAAATCTGAGAGGCATTTACAGATGAAAAACTGCAGAAGAACAGGTAAGAAGAGGATTTTATAATGTTCTTGCCCCGGAATTCTGCTACTTCCCCACTTCCACCACTGGATGGAGATTCAGCCAGAGCAGAGTAAAGCCAGGAGGACTGGCACCTTTGTTGTAGTTGATGTTGGCAGCAATGCCCACAAAGCCTATTGGTGTTGTTAGTAGAAATTACAATGGATTTTCAAAGCTTCACATTGCATGGTTGGGGAAAATATATTCCTGACTGAGGCTATACATATATGTAGTTAAAAATTAGGAGCTTCTAAGCTAGCCGCATAGTCCTGGTCAACCCAGAAGCTGTGTGCATAAACACAGGAGATGCAAAAGGGTCCAGCAGAAAATAAATGCCAGGGAAGGCTTGAAAATTGGCTGAAATTTGAATGTGATTCACCATACACTGCATCTGCAGAAAACTGAAGGGTTACTGTTCTGAGATGGTTAAGCATAATTTCTGATCAGTCATTGGCTAATTATTAACGTACTCAAGATACATAGAAAAACTCTAGGAAGCTAGAGTTAAAAGTAAAATCAAGAATTAATTTTAAAACATCTGAGCAGAAACATCAGCAACTACATACCAGAGGGAAGACAAATTTCAGAATTAATCCAGAAAAGTGACTAAATTAAAAAAAAGACACAAAAAACCACTAATGTCAACAAACTTCATTTTAAAAAAGCAAAAATAGAAATCTAGCATTGCTGTAGCACATTCTATAAAATGTCTGATTTTCAACAAAAAGGTATAAGAAATATAATGAAACAGAAAAGTAACAGCCATATTAAAGGGATCGAAATAGAAAAATAGTCAATAGAAACTGTCTAAGTAATGTACTCATGTTTGATTTAGCAGACAAATGCTTGAAAGAAGTATTATAAATATTGTCTAAGAAGTGGAAACATTTTTACATGATGTAAAGGAAGCAAGACAGCAATAAATTGAAAATAGTGTCATAAAAGTAATTATACATATTTTTTCAGAAATGAAAATTCTCGAGCTGAAAAGCTCAAAAAATGAAAGAAAAATGTAGTAGAGATGTTTCACAGTAGATTAGATGTGGCAGAAAGAAAAATCAGGAAATCTGAATATAGTTCAAATAAATTAGCCAGTATGAAGAGTAGGGAGTAAAACACATTACATTCATTATAAAGTGGGGTTTATCCTATAAATCCAAGGTTATTTCAATCTTTGAAAATAAATTCATTTTATATACAACATCAATAGAATAAAGAACAAAATTATTATCTTTATAAGTGCAGCAAAAGCATTTAACAATATCTAACATTTATTCATTTTAAAAATTATCAGAAAACTAGGAATAGAAGTAAACACCTTCATCTTGACAATAAGCATTTACAAACCTACAACCAAATCCTGTCATTCTAACATTAGAAAGAAGACAAAGAAATATGCTCTTGTCCTTTCTAGTCAACATAATACTGGAGTTTCTGATCAGTGTAGTCAGACAAATAAATAACTAAAAGACATCTAGATTATAGAGGAAGAAGTAAAATTGCAGACAAAATAATCTTGTGTATAGAAAATCCCAAGAAATTCACACAAAAAGTCCACTGGAACAAACAAAGAAGTAAAATAACTTTGCAAAATACAAAGTCAATATACAAAATTTAATTTTATTTCTACATAGTAGCAACAGAAAATCCTAAATTGAAATAGAGAAAACAATATTACTCACAATATATTTTAAAAGAAAATATACTAGTAAATAAATCTGATGAAGTTTAAGACTTATACACTGAAACCTCTAAAACACTGCCAACAAAAATTAGAGATTTATATAAATGGAGATGTATTTCATGTTCATGGATTGAAACACACAATAATTTTAAAATGGCAATTCTCAAATTAACCAATAAATTCAATACAACTCTACCAAAATTCCCATGCACTATTTTTTGGGGAAATTGACCAACTGCTCCTAAAATTTATATGAAAATGAAAAGGATTTAAACAAGACAAACAATTTTGAAGAAAAATAAATTTGGAATATATAGACTATCAGATTTCGGAATTTAATATAAAGCCACAATAATCAAGGCAGGGTATAATCGGTGCCAGGATATGAATAAAAATAAATTATTATAGATTTGAGATTTGAAAAGTAAATCCTTACAGGTGTAGTCAATTAATTTTTTCTTTAATAAATTTATATTTTTTAACAATTTCAAATTAATAGATAAGTTGTAGACATAATACAGAGAGTTCTTATATGGCCTTCACCCAATTTTCCCTAATATTTGTCTTTTACATTACCATGGAATGTTTGTAAAAATTAATAAATAAATAAATAATAAAAACACCAGCATTTTCAAACAAGATCATGAAAAATAAGGAAAGACTAAAAAACTTTCACAGACCAAAAGGAACTAAGAAGACATGAGGACTAAATGTAACATGGTATCCTTGATTCAATTCTTGAACAGTAAAAGGACATTAGTGTAAAACCTGGTAATATCTCAAAAAGACTGGAGTTTAGTGAATAGTATGGTCAAATGATTTTTTTATTGATTTGTAATAGTTAGACATATTTATGTATATGTGATATCTTGAGACATGCAGATAATGCATAATGACCAAATCAGGGTTATAAGGATATCTATCCCCTTAAACATTTATTATTTCTTTATGTTGGAGATATTTTAAATATTTTTTCTAGCTATTTTGGCATGCGCAATAAATTATTGTTAATTATGTTTACCCTACTGTGCTATTGAACACTAGAACTTATTCCTTCAATCTATTTTTGTAACCACTAACCCACCAATCTTCACCCCACAACTAAACTTCCTAGGTTCTAGTCCACCATCCACTCTACCTCCAAGAGATTGACTTTTTTAGTTCCTACATGTGAATGAGTGAGAACATGTGATATTTGTCTTTCTGTGCCTGACATATTTCACTTAACATAATGACCTCTACTTCTATCCATGTTTCTATAAATGACAGAATTTGATTCTAGGTTTTTTTTTTTTTATCGCTGAATAGTATTCCATTATATGTATAAACAACCTTTTTTAAAAAATCCATTCATTCACTGATGGACACTTAGGTTGATTCTCTATCTTGGCTATTGTGAATGATGCTGCAATAAACAGCAGGACAGATACCTCTTCAATGTAATGGTTTTCTTTCTTTTAGGATTATTTGTTTTTTAGCTATTGAGTTGTTTGAGTCTCTTATATATTCCGGTTATTAATTCCGTGTCAGTTGGAAAGTTTGCAAATATTTTCTCCCATGCTGTAGGTTGGCTCTTCACTTTGTTGGTGGTTTTCTTTGCTGTGCAGAAGCTTTTTAATTTAATAGAATCCCATTTGTCTATTTTTATTTGTCTGTATCTTTGAGGTCTTACCCCAAAAAAATTTGCCCAAATCAATTTTCTAAAGCGCTTCCCTAATGTTGTCTTTTAGTTATTTCCTAGTTTTAGGCCTTACATTTCAGTCTTTAATTCATTTTGATTTGATTTTTGTATATAGTGAGAGATAGGGGTTTAGTTTAATTTTTCCTGTATATAGATCTATCCAGTTTTCCCAGCACCATTTATAGAAAAGTCTGTTCTTTCTCCACAGAATAATCTTGGTATCTTATTGAAAATCAGTTGGTTATAAATCTGTGATTTTATCTCTGGGTTCTCCATTCTGTTCTATCAGTCTATGTGTTTGTGTGTTCAATTGACTTTTCATAAAGGTATCAAAGCATTCAATGTCAAAATGTTAATATTTTCAAAAGATAGTGCTTGCATAATTGTATATCTGCCAACAAAGAGCTTAGCCTTTTACTTTACTGTATGTAAAAATTAAAATGACATCAACCATACACCTAATTGTAAGCATTAAAATTATTTAAAATCCTAGACAAAAACATAAGAGAAAATTCTTATTATTTTGGGTTGGGTGAATGTCCTTAGTTAGATACAGAATCAAAAGCCCAATCAATGAGAGAAAAAAATAATGTTTGATTTCATAAAAATTTGAAAACTCTGTGCTTCAGAAGACAAGGAATGATTTCCAAGGGTGGGAGAAAAGTAAAAATAAATACATTAATTAATTAATTTAAATGAAGAAAATAAAAAGGGAAGCAACATACTGGGAGAATATATTTTTATAATCATTCATTAGATATACAATTTGGAAAAAGGTGAATAATTATAAAATCACCAAATATTTTGAATAGACATTTGACAAAGAAGATATATGAATAGCTAATTGGCACATGAAAATGTTCAGCATCTTTTATCATTAGAGAAATGCAAATCAAAAATACAATGAAATACCACAGCACAGCTTCTAACAAAAACGATAGATAATATGAAATGATAGCAAGGATGTACAAATCTGGAATGCTCATATATTGCCAATAAATATGTAAAATGGTAAAGCTCCTTTAGAAAGTATTTTGGCAGTTATAGTGTTAAACATAAACTTACCCTATGACCTAGAAACTCCACTCTTAAAATCTACCCAAGACAAGTAAAAATGTACTTACGCAAAGACATCTACACAATGTTCATAGCAGCATGATTCATAATAGCCCAAGAATTGATACAACATGATATAACTATAAAAATAAAATGCCATTAAGCAATAGAAACAAATGGATTACTGATACATGCTGTTAGATGGACGGAACTCAAAAATATTATATTAAGTGAAAGAAACCAGATGCAAAAGACTATATGTTGTCTGACTTAATAAACGTGGAATTTCCAAAAAAAGGAAAATTTATAGACAGAAAACAAATCTATAGTTGCCAAAGACAGGGAGTAGAAATGGGAGGTATCTGCAAAAGGGATGAGGGAAATTTGGGGGTTGATTGAAATATCTTAAAACCAGATGGTGGTAATGATTGTACAATTTCATACATTTAGAAAACATTATAGAATTATACATTTCTAATTTGTGAATTTTATTGTATTAAACCTCACTAAAGCTGTTAAGATGTATAGAATATTAGGATAAAATTCAAAAATTTTAAAAGTAGATTAAAATTTTTAAAAGTTATTAAAATTAAAATGAAAAATTAAATATAAAGTAGGAAAGTGTCTTAATTCTTTCCTAAATAGAGTTTCATCCATATGTAAAATAGGTAGCAGAAAAGGCATCTTACAGTAATCCATCATCCCAAATCTCTGGATTCACGTTTCCACTACTAGAAATCTTCCCCAAGTTTAAATATGTACCCCAACCGAGCTCTGTTTTTCTAACTATTCTATTATTACTCATCTAAATTCATGAACGTTACAGACATTATTCATCATGCTAATAGTCTTCTTAATCGAAGTACCCCATACATATTTCTAAGCGGGCCTGCAAGTCAAAGTGCTACATTATTAGAAATGTCAACGTGTCTCCATGGGTGAGACCCAGAGTAAAATTGCCACCAGTCAGAACTCAAATTGTAGTCATGATTTCTTGTTAGTGCTATCTATCTACTGAGCTGGTCATAGTATCCTCCTCTTGGCGACAGAGAGAACAAGTAAAGATAATTATGCCTTTTTACAATATACGTACTAATATAAAAATGCGGCTGTCACTTCTGCCACACTGCCACAGCTGGTCACTGCTCTTTTACGGTGAGTTGGTCCCTGCTTCTAAGTGGCCATTACAGAGACCATAATGGCATTTCAAGCTGAAAGAGAAGGGAACTGATGTTTATCAGTTATCCACTAAGTACATTGTGTAGGTGCTTCCACTTACATTAGCTTCACTTAATCTTAATAAAACTCCGAGGTAGATGTTAAAACTTCCTTTTTATATAAAGAGAAAACGAGACTCAGGGAAGTTAAATGAATTATTCAGCTTCTCCTGGTAGTTCACTGGAGTACCTACATTGAATCATCAGTCTTTAGAGTACAAATTCTACCTAAGTGTGTATAAAACGATGGCTCTCACTATGCCGTGTTGCCGAGATCTAAATGATGAATACGTGATTACTGAAGGTCCAGACGATTCCATCACCTCCTCTCTTAAAGGAGACTGCCCATTCTCGGTTTCTGCAGAATTACCCAGTGAGGCTGGCCTCATTGGAGTACTGCCTAGTTCCTCTCTCCCTGTCAAATTACAATCTGCCATCTCTACTTGACATCTAAACTCAGTCCTTTCTCTCAGGAACAGAAGAACTTGGCATTCCCAGCAAGGACTCAATCATACACTGGCTATAACAATAAGGTAAAAGTCACTTTAAATAATTAAGTGCTATCCAGTGTAATGTGTAATCAACCTAAAGTGCACAAAAGCAGAGGCATGTGTCACAATACATAGCTGGTTTGGACCTGGCCTTCATTTTTCCCACCTTCATTTCCTTCAGAGAATAGTAGAGTAAAACAGGGGAGTGTTTCTTTTTCTTTCCTGACAGAAGACACGACATGTCCCCATTTAAGAGTCTGCCAGAGTCCACTTAGTGTTGACACATGTTGACTGGATGACACAAAGATAGGAAAGGTTGAAGGATTCTTGGAAGGAAAGAAGCCAGTTGTATATTCTTTTCGTAAGAAAAAAAAAAGAAAAAAATTTAAACAGTACTTTTTTTTCTTTCCTTTTATGTATGCTTCACATATTGTATTCTGGGGGGGGGGCGTCTCACATATATTCAATGAGTACAGGAGGATAAAGTGAGGAAATTGCAGGGTTTGTGAAGATTCCTTTTTGGGTGGTGCACCCTTATGTAGTCCACAAAGCACTAAATAAGGGGCAGATTTATAAAGGGGAGACAGACAGTTATTTTCCCTTCCACATAGAACTAACTGCTTGTTAAAGAGCAAATCATTCCTTTCTATTTAGCCAGATTGCTGTCTCTTGATTGCATACTTAATCATGGAAATTTAACTTTCTTCCTGGAGATACAATTTTTCTTTGCAGTCAATATGTAGTCAATGCATGTTAATACAATCAAGCTATTCTTTCCTTCTCTCTCTCAACCAAAAGTCCCATTAATAACAGCAATAGCAGCAACATTTGACATTTATACAGCCTGAAGGATTCCAAAAAGATTTCACCAATTACTGTGAATAGAGTCCTGATGAGCTGCAGCTACTTTTGAGGCAGGAAGAGAATAAGCAGAAGCACAAAGTCACAGTGAGAGAGATTCTGCCCAAGGGTATGTGCCATACGCCCCCTTCTTTAAATATTCCAAAATATTATTCATGATGACAGAGAAAACGCACGTCTTTTGCTTTGAAACCACCTAAAAGTCATTAGAAGTAAAATAATATTCAGCTGGTCAACTAAAATGAGACACTAGGAAGGGTAGAATTAAGTTTATTTCCAGTTGGTTCCATTTTTGGCATGATTATTAATCTAGCCTTGATACTAATTGGAAAACTTGAGACACAACAGGCAATTCAAGTAGTCCTGATATCTTGAATTTTTCCATAATTTTCTCAGATACTGTAAGGGACTGGCTAGAATTCAGGAATATATTTTCACTGGAAGGATTTCAATTCAGTAACTAAAATATTGCCTTATGCACAGAGAACAAGAGTTTCAAGAGGATTTAAATACATACTTTGAAATTCTCTTTTACTAAAAATAAATCAATCATATCAACAGCAGAAAGATAAAACTGAGAAATATTACTATCCTTTGAAAACACTACAAATTCCGTTCTCCTAAGACTTACGTAATATCTTTTGATAACGTACTAATTTGAAAACCATCCACTAATCACACAACATGCAATAAAGTATACAATAAAGTTAAAGTTTTTGATTCCCAATATCATAAAAGCATAAACTTACTCAAGAACCACAACAACCCGTTTCCAATATGATACAAGTAATAATGGCTACTGAAATGTCAATATTTAATTGAACGTATCTAGGAGGCTGGTTGCTGAATCTGCTTAAATCCATTTTAGTTGTATAAATGCATCTTATTTTTCATGTCAGATTTCAAAACAGTGGGCCATACTAATTTGTATTCCTTAATGAAGCCAAAGACTGTCGCTGCCAAAGGAGTACCATGTGCAGAGTTACCAGACAGGTACTGTTTTCTATTATTATACACATTTGTGAAAATCATACATAGTCAATCTCTTAAATAGCAGGAGACTAAAAAGAAAAAATAAAAAAAGTTCCTCTTGAGCCTAAAGCCAAAAGCAAAGACAAGAATCTTTGCTATCTTCTTTCTAGATAGACTTACACTGACTCTTTGAGGTTAACTGAAACCTAATAATATTAAAACCTGAATAACACAGTTATAAATATGTATCAACATGTGAATTCTACCTTATGGGCCCTTAGAGAAAAGTAATTGAATGTTCAGTCTGTAGATGCTTTTAAACTGAAAAAATAAACTACCTCATTTTATTTATTTTCTCTTGATGAATAATGAAATGAGTATGTTTGCGTGTGTGCATGTATGGGTGCATGTGTGTACATGTAGCTAAATATATAATCATTAATTCTCCCAGTTCCAGATGGCAAATTGTATAGGATTTTACATATTTCATCTATCAAGTGAATAAAGAAATACCACATATGAAGGATTTAAAAATGTAAGATATATCACCTCACTGAGAAAGAGGCATGATCTTTTCTAGAAAAGACGAACAGGTGCTTATCAAAAATAAAAACAATTACAATATCTTTATAGAGTCTTGTTTAGATTCTTTTAGAGTCTCTTCTACATGGTTAGAAGTCTAATAATATAGCAGGTTTATATAATATTTTTAACTGGTAACTATAAAACAGTGCCTAAGCTAAAAAATTGTGGAGCTAAAATTATACTTGAACAAAACGATATGTATACTGCCCTTTATTTTGTATGTATACAAACATACACACACACACACACACACACACACTCAAAAACTAAATACAAAATATATAGCATATAAGTATATATTATATACATACACATATATGCATATGGGTAATGCAACATTTTCTTGCTTTGACTATTTGAATTATACTATTTCTTTTTCTCCAGCATGGTGAAAATAAGTAAATTTACATTAGAATTATGCAACTAGGATGCAAAACCCTCTCCTGATTTCTACAAATAATATTTTGTAGTTTGCTAATGTCAAGAATATTTCAGTCTTCAGACTAATGGAAACACATATTGACATATTGTAGGAACAAATTCTTTATATATATTTAGATAATATAAAGTTTTTAGCTGTGCTTTAGTCTTTGACTTACATGGTTCGCATTTATACTAAAATGGAAACATTCAGGTTTTTAGCATTAAGTGATTTGGATATGGAAAAGTTTCATACAAATGTGTCCTACCATATTTTAAACTCAGAAAACTGACAGGAAAAAAAATAGTCTTAAACAAGATTGGTTGCTGTTCTGGCTCTACCACTACCTCCTTGTCTAGCCTAGATCAAGCTGTTTACCCTCTCTAGGATTTCATTTCCTCTTGTGGAAAACAAAGGGCTTGTACTAGACAATTTGTCTGCAAACTCTGCATCTGAAATGTTATTAAGTATCTTAGAATGACTAAGCTTCCATTCTATTTCCTAAGGCAGTCAGTCATCAAAACTACCCGAGCCATAAATCTAAATATTTATAAAGCTATATCCTAAAATAATTATTTAAAATCTTTTTTCTAGGATGTAAGTAATTTTATCCTTAACACATATGCTGCATTTTTCTGGTCTTATTCTGGTTTCTAAATATAATAATGCACAAACAAAAAACTTGGTTAGAATTCAACACTTCCTGCTGTTCATTCGGCTACCTGATGCCCAGTAATGTTTACATCATAATTGGTTTCTAAGGAAATGATTATATCATCATAAACTAGATATCTTGTTTTGAAGAATTCTGCTTTGATGCAGATAGCTTTTCAATGGGAAATAAGATGAAGTACAATAAAGAGTACAAATTTAGGCATCACTGCCTATGATATTGAGGATGGGAAAAAAATTGAAAATATGCTTTTGAAAACTCCTTCAGATCATCAAGTCCTACCAATATTGAAACAGTATGGACACATAACCATAATGCTTTCTTATTCTTGCTTTATAGATGGAAAGGTTTGCAGCCCCTGGAATTGCAGAGCAGAAACATTCTGGATTGCTTTTGCAGAGCAACATATGGTTACAGAGTCACTTAGGAATATTAGTAGTTTCTTTGGCAATGCAGAGATTTTGCTACATATTTGTTCTTGAATATAGCTAAAGGCTGCTCAAATTATTTTATTGGATGATATTTAACTCCAAGTATTTTGGAATGTTTGAAAATTATGTAACAAATTTAAAGGCTATTCATTTTGCCAAAGGTGCCAAAACTAATGACATTTGAACAATATCGTCCAAATCGAGGTCTGTGCTGTAGAAAGAAAAGTAAAAAATTCTATTCTGCTACTACTGTTATTCATTCATCAAATCGTTAATATTTCTCCATAATATTTTTTAAAACCCATATATTGATATTGATTCCATTATCTATCAACCACTGTGTCAGGTGCTGGAGCTGTAAAACTAAAAATAGTGTAATTCCTGTGTTTAGGATATCGTCCTATATTGAAAAGCAACATACAAATAAACTAATAACGCAGACACAATGAGGTGTGTTTAAAGTCCCCCAGGAATTGCTATGAAAACACTAAAAATAAATATTATTGCCTCTGGAAATGTATGGGGTGAAGTCTAATTCAAAGAAGACTTGACAGAAGAGCTAACAGTTGAGCAGGGTCTTGAGGGATGAATAGGTGTTTCTCAGCAAGATAACTTGCAGAAAAAATTGTATGTTTAGAGGCCTTAAGGAATAAAAACAAGCACGGGCTATTAAGATCTATGATGTGACCAAAACACCAAAAAGGGAAATGGCAGAAATGTTAACTACTGAAATTTATTCAATAACTGCGGTTGAATATGGATGAATATTCTCTAATAACACATGGAACAGTATGTCCAAAAGCCTAGAGGCAGTTAACTACAGTTCTTTCTCAACTTTCCACTTCTTTGTTAATACATGAAATACAAGCTAGTATCTTATTATTCCCCATACTTGCTTTAAATGCCAACCAAAGCAGTATTATCAACTACTGACTGTTCCTGACGTCCAAAGCCCATCCAACTGCAGACTCTACGCTCCTTTGTGTCAGTGTTTTAGGTTTTCTAAGAGAAATTGCCCTTACACTGAACAAAGAGTAAGTGGTTAGAGTTCATTTTGAGTGGTAGCCCTCCATTTCTGTAGAAATTATATACTGAGTTAAACAGTTAATAAGTTCTTTACGAAAAATAAAAGAAACCCCAAATCAAATTGGTGTAAAATAAAGGAGAGGCATGTTAGCTCATATCTAAAGGAGAACAGACTGGAGAGGGTTGTGAGTTGTTTTATGTCAGAGTCTCCCTCTACCCTTCATGCCGACGTACACCATATGGGGCGGATTCATCTTCGTTTGTAGGTTGGTCACCAATAACAAGTTGATCTATATTTTTTCTTAGTTACATGACTGACTTCCCATGGAATGCAATAAAAAGAATTGTTTCTTTCCCTAACACTGTCAGGCCCTGAATTGATCTATGGCAAAGAGGGTGGAGGAAATTATCATGGTTCGTGTTAACTTATTAGCTGCAGTAAAGTGGCTGTTGAAATGAATTACAATGTCCAGTTTGAACCACCCAAAGACACTTGTTGGAATCAGTAATTCCACACAAACAGTACTTTTTTCACTTTGTTAGTAAAGCTTCAAACACTGATACTTTACTTAGTTGTTATCTAGAGGTCAGATATCACACAGTAGGCAATGGGTAGCAGTGATAGAGAAGCAAAAGAGGGGCATAATTCAACAAGCTTGCAGCTGGAATCTTCATTTCACAGAGATTCTTCACTGGGTTCTAAGAAATTATTCCTGAATTCTAAGTAATTATTCCTAAGTATAAGATAAATTTCTGAAATTGTTACTTTTGCTCTCTGGTAAATGCATAAAAGGTGAAGAAACTGAAACTCACAGCCTTCTGGTAGGAGAAAGGATTTATGTATGTGTATTATAAAATAATCCTTTAGTAGTCAGGCAGGAATTAAATGATGTTTTGAAATAGACCCACTCAATACTCTCCAAGCAGACATATCTGATGAACCTGTCTTCCATTCCCCTCCTCAGAAGGTCACATAAATTCAAAGTATTATTTTGTCATTAAAATAATACAAAAATAAATAATTAGATTTACAATTTGAAATTTATTCTTAAAATGTAATTCAATATTAAATTGTGAGTACATATAACTGAAATATATAGGAATAAAATGTATTAGTTCATTTTCATACTGCTATGAAGAAATACCCGAGACTGGGTAAATTATAAAGAAAAAGAGGTTTAATGGACTCAGTTCTACATGGCTGCAGAGGCCTCACAATCATGGCAGAAGGCAAAGGAGGAGCAAAGTCATGTTTTACATGGTGGCAGGCAAGAGAGCATGTGCAGGGGAACTGTCCTTTATAAAACCATTGGATCTCATGAAATATATTCACTATCACAAGAACAGCATGGGAGAAACCTGCCCCCATGATTCAGTTACCTCCCACTGGGTCCCTCCCATGACACATGGGGATTATAAGGTCTGTAATTCAAGATAAGATTTGGGTGGGGACACAGCCAAACCATATCATAAAATAGAAACATTTAGATTTTAAATTATCAAAAAATATATTTAAAATACAGTTATAGGTAGAGTTATGATTTTTAAAATACCATGTTAAGCAATTATATCACTGTGTGATTGTTATTGCGTGTACTTACACAAACTTAGTTGGCATAGCCCAGTTCACCCCCCAGGCTATATGGTATAACCTACTGCTCCTAGGCTACAAACCTGAGCAGCAGGTTACTCTACTGCATAGTGTACACCATTGCAATACAATGGTAAGTATTGTTCATCTAAACATATCTAAACAAAAAAAGATACAGTAAAAATACCCTAATATAATCTTATGGGATGTCCATCATATATGCAGTCCATCATTGGTTGAAATGTCATTATGTGGTGCATGCCTGTATAAAAAATATGATAGGTTAATCATCTAGAATTGTTGTAGAAAAATTACTTTTGCATTATAATTAAACAAATGTAAAGATACATTTTAGTATGTCAGACTCTGATCTAGATATTGGAGATATAACAGTTCCTGTGACAAATAAAAAGTAGATAGAAACACGATACTTTATTAATAAATCCCAAACTAGAATCTCAAAACACTAGATGGAATCAGAAGTGCCTTGAGGACACCTACTTCAGTCTTAGTTAATGATGAAGGCCACTGCCACAAATGGCAAGCAAATAAAAGCCGCGGTGGGAATCTAGTACTTGTGTCTCTCTACCAACTTTTTCTGGCACAACACTTTGAAAAAAATCTTCATGATTGGATACATTTATTATTTTAAAAATATCTTCAGAACTTTACAAAAATTTTGGAACTATCAAATAAACTAAATTTGACTTAAATGTAACTACCAAAGAATCTAGAATGAGGTAGTACATTGGGAAGTAAAACAATTTGGCACATTAAAAAAGTTATAATGCTATGCCTATTAATATAAAATCATCCGAGTTCATTTGTAGTAAGCATTTATCAAGGCAGTGTGTTTTGGTTGTAGATAGAAAAACATGCAGCTCAACACAAGCATAAGGAGGTTTCACAAGACCATGGCATATTTTTGTATTCTTGTAAAATGCTATCATATTGAATTAACCTATTTTAAGGCCAAAATTCTATTGGCTTTTTAATCTTAGTTAAAACTGTTCAAAACTCAATTTGTGGGGTGTGGTTATAATGTTAGCTAATAGTTACAAAGGCATAGTGGATCTTGACTTGCTACTCATTTAATATTCCGTGTGATAAAAACTTCCCAAACTCTGACTCAAAATTTTTCTCTGACTTAGCATAGCTTCTCAGATAAAGTCTCTGCTGGGCATTATTATCAGAATTGAAATTGCTTATACAGATAAGGAGGAAAGATAAATTCAAAACCCAGTGCTGTTCAATAAAAATATTGTATGAGACATTGATAAAATGTAAATTTTTTTCCAGTTGTCACATTTAGTTAAAAAAAGGTAAAATTAATTTCAAGTATATATTTTATTTCAGTAAATATATCCAATATATTGTCATTTTGAGTTGAAAACTAATATAAAAAGTATCAATGAGATTTTTTTAAATATTATGACTTTGATCTCTGGAGTTCATTAGATCCTTATAACACATCCCAAATTGAACAGCCTCATTTCATTGCACCCAAGGACCACATGTGACTACTGGTTTCCATATCCATTAGCAAAATTATAAATTTTGTATATGTCTTTCAGTTATTGAAAATGTAAGAATTAGCAAATGATTATTTTTCTATCAAAAAATAGGAAATATTTTAAATTATTATTCTTAAGTCACAAGGTATCTGATTCTGGCATATAAAACGACTTAAAATGTAAATGTGTATATATTACATTTAGAAATAATTTTTGAATTGTGGATAAGTGTTGTGCATAAATGTGTGTGTGACTAATATTAATTTTAAAAAACTGAGAACCGGCTGTTCTGCGGATACACAGAATCAACATGCAAATCGTTGTATTTCTGTCAGTAAATCCTTGAATTTTTCATCTTTCATATAAAAGAGCTGATCTAGGTGAATTCTAAGATCACTTTCTACCCTGTACTTCTTTATAAAAAATCTGTTTGTTATATGTGTACACACCAAACCTGTGTGTTTATGTCTGAGTGTGTCCTCTATATTTAATGAGCAGGACACAACTGCAGTGTCATGCCATCATAGTAATTTGTGAGTTAAAAAAAATAATCTCACAGAATTATAAATCTCTAAAGCTAAGGAATTATTTACTTAAAATGAATCTAAAAAGTTTTGGCCAGGTGCGGTGGCTCATGCCTGTAATCCCAGCACTTTGGGAGGCTGAGGTGGGCAGGTCACAAGGTCAGGAGTTCGAGACCAGCCTGCCAACATGGTAAAACCCTGTCTCTACTAAAAATACAAAAATTAGGCAGGCATGGTGGTACACATCTGTAATCCCAGGTACTCAGGAGGCTGAGGCAGGAGAATCGCTTGAATTCGGGAGGTGGAGGTTGCAGTGAGCCAAGATCGTGCCACTGCACTCCAGCCTGCATGATAGAGTGAGATTCCATCTCAAAAAAAAAAAAAAAAGTAACGTATTTTATATCTCTTGAAATCCAATATATACTACTTCTAGTAGTGGGGAAAAAAGAAAGGGGAGTTATAACTGGCACACTAGAAATTAGGAATATTGTTAAGATTCATTCATAGGCATCCATGGACAAATGTCTCATGTAAATGTCTTTCATCCCATACACCATGGGTTCAAAGGACAGAAGTCAACGATTCCATAAATCCCTTTGTGTAACTGAGGTGGCTTAATAATGGACACAGGCTAAACACAATAGGAAGCTACTATTTTTGTCCTGTCCTTCACATCCTCTAAAAATTTGGCCCTCAACATGTCTAAAGCCACATCTCGGGTATTGTGAATTTTTGGGTAGGACTGAGAAAGAGGCTTAGCAAAACATATGCAAAGAAAAGACAGGCAGACAGACAGACAGACAGACAGACAGACACACACACACACACACACACACACACACACACACACAGCTGAGCAACCCACCCTGGGATTCTGGATTTTGAATTTGCATGCACCCTTTCTAACTCTATTCTCAATACATTGATTATTTGATTGCAATGCAACACACGGTGTCCCAAACTGTAGGACTATAGTTTTCAGTAGGAGCATTCATGTATAGCTTAAAGAAAACTTAAACATGAAATTCATTTAGCTCAACCACCATCCTGATATTTCTTTCCCTCATATAAAAGTGCTTCTCAAAGCAACAAGGCCAACTTATTTTCTCTATTTTTACAGACTGACGTTTTTGTAAAATATAAAAAAAGAGTTACTAAAAGAATAACTCAAAAAAACAAAGCTCTACAAAATGCAAGATCACATGTTTTATTATTAGACTCAAAAGACATAAAATTACTCTGTCAAATTGCTGTAAAATTTCTAAACATCTGCTCCCATTTCTGTACTTACATATTTAGAGACTGATGCTAAGTTCACAGACTGGTCTGTGGTCCATACTCCTTTGATTAAAGCATCTCTAGACTATCTCTCTGAATGTATGTATTTTTTATTTGTTTTCCTTTTTAATGTCACACATGACCGTTACACAGATAACGTACTAATGACCACAAAAATCTGATTTTATACATCTATTTGTTAGAAAACAAGCCTAATTTTTAGCATATTATTGATGTACTTTATCATTGACAGGGAAATCCCAGACAATGCAAAATAAGCCATGACATATATGAAAATTCTAGATATCACAAAGAAAGACATAAGCCCATTGGTATTTGAAGATTATATGGTCGTATATTTACAAAACACCAAATAATTTACTAACATTTTATAATTAAGAGAAATATTAATATGTTGACCAGATTAAATAATAAAAATATTAATAGCATTCCTTTCCGTCAGCAAGAAGCAGTAAAAATACAATGTCAATTAAATTTGCTGGTGTGTGTTTTCATTACATTGTATCTTGTTAGTTTTGGTCTGATGCTGTCTTTGGTGAAGATATTTTTGGATTTTAAATTAGTTATCCAACATACTTCATATTTATAGCATTTAATTTGCTACATTGGTAAGTGTGTCACAACTTAATTCCAGTCACTGTACGTTCAAAAAGAAAAATTGAATAATCTAAGATGGAAACATTAGTTATCACGAAAATAGCACACTTAAAAATCCAGAGTCATATGACCAGTTTGTTAATGACTACACAGAGTTCTGTCTCCAGGGGTACCTATTTGCACCCCCAACCTCACCAATCTTCTCTTAAATGTAGACCTCCTGTTACAGGAAGGTGTAAGAACCTATGCCATCATACCTTCACTACCTGAGAAAGGATTCCATCTCATTCCCCATGAAGAGCAAAACTTTGTGAGAGCTGATCATATGATCATGGATTGTATTTGCCCTAAGGCCTCACTCATTCTGTTGTAGCAAGTGAGGTGCACTTAGATGTTAAGTATATCATATGCTCTGATATTGTTTTATATGCCAATAATAAAAATACATATAGAAAGAAAGTTATAGAATTGATCTTATGCACTCTTTAGGGGGCATCAAAGATGATTGAAAATCACTCTTTTATGTTCTCCTTAGGTCACTGTCTCCTAGTAAGATAGAAATCCATTTCAGATTTCTAAGCAAATTTATTTTATAATATAACTCTCAAGGAGAAAAGTCCTGTGTCCCATAGGGTTTTGCTGTTGTTGTTTAAGCACTGGCTTTGGATTTAGGCCAAAATTTGACTCAACGTCGATGTTTACTTTGCTAGATGTCCTACAGCAAGTTATTTAATCTCTCTGAGCTTTACCTCCCCTTGTTCTAAAAAATCACCTATCTCATAGGGTGATTGTATTAATGAGATAAAGTATAGAAAGTCCCAGAACAACAAAAGACCTCCTAAGTGACCATTATTGTTATTATTACCTCATCCACCATTATCATCTTTATTATCATGTCACCTCCGTATCTATAGTTCCATCCAGTTCCTCAACATCACAGGACAATCAGGGCTTTATGTTATGGCATCTCACTAGTGACATGGCCTGTAATAAATCTCTTGTTTTTGCCAGCTTCCATTCCCTAAACTCTTAAAGAACGGTGTTAAAATCGGTTTGTTTGTATTGGACATTTTACTATAAAAATGAGATCCTCCGTTTTACTGTTATTGTACATTTAGTAGTATTATGTGATGCAATTCATCTATGCACTTATGAATTAAAGGTCTTATTTTTTGATGCTTGCTCACCTGTCTAGGCAGTTGTGACCTGAAATTTGATAACTTCTGTACTAGTTAATTTCAAAGATTCATTTCAGGTTTCAAATCTTAATGCTATAGTTACTCAAAATCAATCCCCGCTATATTAAATATATAAAAATAAACTTTATGATGTCCAGGAAATTGCATAATGCTTATTTAGAGTTAGCATTGATTACAATTTATGTTTAGGATAAATCACGCTGGAGCCCCTTCTTCCATAGGTACAATAATAATTGCATTTATTATTATGGAAGAATAATAGCAAAAGCTGAAAAAATATTTTAATCTATTTGATAGCCAAATAAACCGGCATATTGTGAAGATTATTAAAACTACTGAAATCCTAGCATTCAAGAGGGGAGGGGCTGGGCACAGTGGCTCAGACCTGTAATCCTAGCACTTTGAGAGGCCTAGGCAGAAGGATCACTAGAGACCAGGTGTTTGAGACCAGCCTGGGAAACATATGGAGACCCTGTCTCTTCAAAAAAAAAAAAAAAAAAAAATTAATTAGCCGGTATGGTGGTATGTGCCTGTGGTCCCAGCTACTGGTGAGGCTGAAGAGGTAGGATTGCTTGAGCCCAGGAAATCCAGGCTGCAGTGAGCCATGATCACATGACTGCACTGCCACCTGGGTGACAGAGATCCCATCTCAGAAAAAAAAAATAGAGGAAAATAGCCAATGATGCTTAAACTATATATATATATATATACACACCCTCACATGTATACAGCTGTTCATTTGCTGTTTTGGAAATAATATATTTTAGACTTATAACAAAAAATACCATTGAAAATAACACATTTAATTAAATGCATCTACTAGTGCCAAAATAATCCCAAACATTGGCTGCTTTTAGGGCTTTATTGTGAAAAGGATACTATATAGCAGTAGATAACTCTACTGGTATTTTTAATGTAACTTTTCTGAGAACTCCAGGTGAACTGAAAACTCTACCTTCTTTTAACATTTGAAACTTTCTCACTGAGTAGTAATTCTACAATTTGAAAATGTAAGTGAGAGAGAGAGGAATAGGTCCATGTGTTTTTATTTTCTTGTTTGCAAAGAGGTTTCAGATGGCTTTGGCTAATTGAAACAACTGTTGAAAATTTACTTGGCATTTTTAATTCTTTCTCAATATTTTCAACCCTGATGAAAATGTTTTGTCTCTCAGAATATCTTCTTCTGGGATCTGGCCATTCAGCTCATGAAAAATGTGCATTGAAAATTTCATCTGATTTATCCATTCATCCAAGCGGTTACCACCTGGAATCTGCTAATGCAAATATTCCTAGTCTTCCCACTTTTTCCTTATGCAAACTAGCTTGCCAATGAACATGAATTACTTTCTGTGTACTTGCTATGTGCATAAATTCTGCTCTATTACTCTAAGGAGTTTGTTTATATATGATGAAAATACACATAGAAAGAATTATTATATATATGAAGACATGTTTTTATCTGTTGAAAATATGAGTTGTAGTAACTGACCCAAACACCCACACACATAAGTATTTATATATAAATATATTCTGTACATATATAATATGTATATATTTCTCATTTTAAATTTTTGACCTTGGAAAGGTAGTAAGAATATAATGCCAGTAAAAACTGCTGAAAGTTATTCATCATGATAAGCCATCTCTTATAATTATTATAGAAGAATAAATCCCTCATCCCTAATTCCGTCAACAATTGTTTCCTTGATAATCAGAAAAAAAAATGTATTTCTTTAACATTCTAGGGAGGATTTAAGAATGATAATGAATTGTAATAGGACCAATTGAGTTAACTGTTCCCCCTAAAATAATATTTCCTGAAAAAAGAGACTCACAGAAGAGACCATCAACTTTGCTATATTTTCATGTAATATGTTTTTCAGCATTTTTATATTTTCCTGTTGTATATACAAGTGCAATACTGTCTCTAAATTTTGCCTGTTTTTTAGATATTTTCTACCAAAGTTTTTCTACTGTGTGTTCAACTTCCAGATAGAATATATTATTTGCTATAAGCATTCATCACCTATTTCCCTATTTCTTTTCTTTTCTTTTTTTGAGACAGATTCTCACTCTGTCGCCCAGGCTGGAGTGCAGTGGCACAATCTCGGCTTACTGCAACCTCCGCCTCAGCAATTCTCAGCAATTCTCAAGCAATTCTCCCGCCTCAGCCTCCAAGTAGCTGGGATTACAGACACCCACCACCATGCCTGGCTAATTTTTGTATTTTTAGTAGAGATGGGGTTTCACCATGTTAGCCAGGCTGGTCTCGAACTGCTGACCTCAGGTGATCTGCCTGCCTCGGCGTTCCAAAGTGCTGGGATTACAGGCGTGAGCCACCGCGCCTGGCCATCACCTATTTCAAACTTCTCTTAGCCTAGAGTTAAGACATGACATCATTTAGGATGAAGTGAACTGGCCAAGAGGAAGAAAGCGATTGAATTTCCAAAGAAGGAGAGTCATTATTCTTGACTCTGTTATGTCTATTAGTCCTCTACAGATGGAAAGGATCCTTGTGGTTAACTGATCTTCAAAACTGTTAAACGCTAAGGCAGTGACTTACAGGGTCACTTACCAAGTGGAATGAAGAAAGGGTGGGCATATACCCGGTGCTGAAGAAGAATAAATCTATAGATGACATATATTCTTTAATTCCATAAAAAATAATTTCAATCCAGAATCACAACATTTGAAACATCTAGAAAAATAAAGACTGACTCTTATATAATTGATGGACTAGGTAGAGAAATATCCTATGATATTTTAAAGAAGTATACTATAATTCATTTTTTCCCAATCTGATAGTCTCTATTTCAGAAAATGGAAATATTATTCTTTCAAAGATCTTACACAGAAACTAACTTGAATTTCCAGAGTGCCAAAAATCTAAGAGATATGTACTTGTGTAACTTCTATCGACTACCTAAAGTGCAGATAGGATCCATAACACTTCATGATAAAGTTATAGAGATAATATTACAGTGGCAATAATCAACACAGTAGTATTAAGACAGCAAATCCTCCTATCAAAGAAAAACAGATATAAGCATAAATCAAAAGAAAAATGCACAGTGATATTGTGTTTCCACTTATTACTCAGCAAATCTCCCAAACACCAGCCTTCATCCTACCAACATTATTTCTATGTCTTTATTTTACTACCAAGCATTTGATTGTATGATCTATTTCAACATCCCCTCCTTTAACTATGAAACTGATTTTTTAGTGCTCCTGCAAATCTGCATTAAAATAATGGAATAGAAAAAGCAGATTTTAGAGTTGTGACTAATAAATTTTTACAATAAATGAAATAGCTGGAAAGGCAAATAACATAAAAATTGCAAAGAACATGGACTTGAAAATAGTAAACATCATCAGAGGTAACCTTAATCCGTTTACCATCTGGTGATACATCACTGTTATGGTTTCCTTGAACTGGTAAAATAGGTTTTGATCAGCTGCTCTTTCTTCTTCTAGGCAAATCAAATTTGTATTCTCTTGAGCTGTCCATGTTTGACTTTAAGAAAAAAGATTTAGAGAGTTTAGAAAAGAATTCACGTTCAAATTCCAAGGGCTTATGAATAAAGAACAGTAAAACAAAAGAAAAAAGATAAATTATGTTTTGTTAAGATTTGTTAATATTAGTTACTTTGTTCAACATTATATGCTCTGGGAACCAAATGGAATTTTTCACTTCTTCACTTTATTTTCCACTTATCAATCAACCTCTCTTGTTAATTATTAGAATTGATAAACAAAAAGTCTACAAACAACTTTCCCACTTTTACAGGAAGAAACATTTTTTGTTCACTTACACTGATTACATATGGAAGTTGTGTGAATTTAGAAAATATAAAAAGAAAGATTAATGATCAACATGGTTTTAAAGAATATCCACTGCATCTGCCATCTAATTATTTAAAACATTATTACTAAGTTTTTAGAAGTTCTATCATTAATTTTGAATTAAATGTGTCTAGTTTAAGATAAGGAAATGGAGTAATCTTCATTATTGCTAAGTCAAAATCTATATACCTGCTTGCTAAAACTCAAGATTCATGGTTCAGTTTATGTAGTTTCTTAGTCCCAATCCTTGTCCTGCTGTGATAAGACTTTTCTTATGGCTTGTCATGGTCAGTGTTATGGACTGAATACGCATACCCCTTCTCTCCCCATACCAATTCATATGTTGAAGCCCTAACTCCCATTGCTGTTGCATTTGGAGATGAGGCCTCTAAAGGAAGTAATTCAGGTCACAAAGGTGGTGTCCTGAACTGACAAGGTTAGTGTCCTTATAAGAAAAGAGAGCAGAGTTCACTTTTTCTTTCTCTCAGCCTGCATTTAGGGAAAGGCTGCTTGAGGACACAGCAAGAAGGCATCCATCTGTAAGCCAGGGAGAGAGCCCTCACCAGAAACTGAATCTGCTGTCACTGTGATTATGGACTTCCAGCCTCCAGAAGTATGAGAAATAATGTTTATGTTACCCTGTCTGTGATATTTTCTTTTGACAGCCCTAATAGAATAATACAGCCTGGGAGGCAATAAAAATACTGGACATAATTAAGTTCTGAGAAAACGCATTTTTCTTTTTCAGTGTAAGCCAACCAAGATTGCTAAATAGAAGGCACATTCATAGGAAACACTGATTTGGCCATGTTAGTGGCTAGCTGCCAACAGTTAACTTAGGGCTTCCAGTAACCACACTCTAGTCTCTCATTTCTTGCTTGAGCAGGGTATAATACAATCATTTCATCTTCTCTTATTGGTACATGCCTGTTCCCACTCTATTTCCCTTCCCTAGCATTGAATATATGCTGTTGTCAAGTGATTAGCCATAATGTTTCTTGCACTTCAGGCTTGCATTATAAATCACGACAATTTCCTTATGCTTCACAGTGCAAGGTTATTACGCAGTTGGACTACAATAGTTGATGTTATTAATTCATTATCACTTACACCTGTTTGTCTTTAGGGGACAGTGAAAAATCCAATGTAGCACTCAGGTGCCAGATTTCCATGCTGGATTTTGAACACTACAACTCTATTCCAATTAGCTCAGCCCCATGCAGCTTCTGCCTCCTGCATCCCAATGTGGATAGCCTCACATCCCAACTCTTAACATTCTTCAGAATGTCCTTATATATAGCAGAGAAGGCCCAGTGATCTTCAGTTCTTATCCTGCAGACTTTTTTGGATCAAATTTGTTTTTCTTATTTATTTTAAAATTGACAAATAATAATTGCATATATTTATTGTATACATGTTTTTAAATGTGTATACATTGTAGAATGGTTACATTGAGCTAATTTACAAATGCATTACCTTACACACTTACTATTATTTTTATGGTGAGAACAGGTAAAATCTACTCTTTTAGCAAGTTTCAAAACTATAATATATTATTATTAACTATGGTCACTGTATTGTCAAACAGATCTAGGATTTATTATTTTTATCTAACTGAAATTTTGTATCATTTAACCAACATCTCTCCAATTAACTCCATAATTGATCAAAATTTTTATTGTGCTACTTACCCTATAATCTAAGGTTAATAGTAGAACCGTGGTTCTCAAGTGGGTCCTAGATCATAAACATTACAATCACCTGGTAAATTGTCAGAAATCCACCATCTTGTGTCCCACCTAAACAACTGATTCTACAACTCTGTGGTGTTTTCATTCACCAAGCTCCAAACACTCTTTTTGTAGAATTTGCAAAGTGACACTTCTTACCCATTAGAGCAGGGTATAATACAGCACTGTGAGCACAGAACGAAACCTGTGTTTTCATTCAGCCTGTTCCAAACATCTTTTGTAGAATTTGAGAAGTGACATTTCTGAGCCTATTGAGATTCTAATCTCTATTGAAATTCTAATCTATACTGAATTTTCATTCTAATCTATATTGAAATTTGAGAACCACTTGCCTGGTGACGAACTGACCCCTGGATAGTGCAATAGCCACATTGGATGACTGTTTCCTCTATTTACTCCCATTAAGGGGCCAAGCAGCCATTCTAGTCTACTATTATTATTCTCATTTTCATTTGATATCTGGACTTACTCTCAGTCCTTTAATACCAGCAATTAGGACGAGACCAACCCTATGTACTAGGTAGTTGACTGGGAACTCCTCGCAGGCATCTGAAAATCCCCGTCTTAGAATTATTCTTTCATTTCCTATAGTTTTTACTTCCCAATGGGCTGACATTCCCTACTAGCATCCCTTTTTCATCTCACCTGAGCCATCATTATCAACAATTTTCAAAACACCCAAGTTAACTAATCAATGTCTCAAGTTTGGATTTTCTCTCTCTTTCTCACTCTCTCTGATGAAATACGATATTTCTAACCAATTGAAGGGCAGAGAGCTTTCTCTATTCTCTATCTTCCTTTCTCTAAAGTAGTAAAACTAAGGAATCTGTTATCTTAACATTGGTAAGGATACAAAGCAACTATGTTCAAAACAAGTTTATGCAGATTCCTAAACCATTTATTCCATAATAGTTACCTGCTAAGCAGTATGCTCAAAATTTTAGAAATATTTATCTCACTTAAACATTGGTGTTCATATAGTAACAACTTGAAATTGTTACATTTTCAGTTGCAAATATTGGTTAAATATTAGTGTCTTCATATGGTTCAAAATATTATTTGTTTATCTCTCACTGATAGTTCAGACAACAGTGGTTAGAGAGTATGAGGAGTTTTATATAAGGAGCTTTACATGGCTAGTAGAAGTGAATAAACAGCAGAATAAACTTTTTGGAGCCATATTTTTTGGAACTCTAACTTTGAAAGATGCAGATAAATTCTGAGACATTATTGGTGCTCTAGTCACTTATTTTTGATTCTATGAGCAGGTAGCCTTGAATTTTACAAACAGATTAAAATGGCCCTTGGAAAATAAATATGGGATGTGTAGATGGTTGTACCTTTAAAAATACAGCAATTGAACTAGTTTACAGTCATGTTGGCACATGTATACGTATGTAACTAACCTGCACGTTGTGCACATGTACCCTTAAACTTAAAGTATAATAAAAAAAAAAAATACAAAATAAAAAAAATACAGCGGTTGAATCAGTGCTATTTATTTGTTAAATCTTAATTATTTGCTCTAAACCAAAAATAGTAATGTTATTTCCAATGCCAGTGGTTACTGGAATGGGAATATGACCTAATTTGGCTAGTAAGTCAAAATGAAATTATCTGCTAGGTATTTTTCCACATTCTTAAGAAAGAGACAGAAAATGAAATGGGCCCTTCTCTTTCCTTTGGACATTGAAAGATACAGAGGTGCTGTAGACCTCTTGCTAGTGATATGACTGTAAAAGATATCCAAAAAGAATACAGATTATATGGGTGTGAAAAGCCTGGATCTTGGTATGATTGAACTATTAGATCAACTAATCTTGAGGCCAGACCTGTATCTAGAGTTTTAGTGCTTTTTGTTTTTGTTTTGTTTAGGAATCATTACTTTCTCATTTATTACTAAACTCCAAATAATAATTCGACAAGTAATTGGTGTAATGTGTCTGCATCCTTTATAGGTAGCTAAAATGTTTCCAAAAGGCCATTTTACAACAATGAAAGAAACAACAATGCATCGCATACTTGAACATTGCTAAGAGAGAAGATTTTAAGTGTTCTTACCACACACAAAAAATGATAAGGATATGTGATAATGTATGTGTTAATTACTTTGACTAAGCCATTCCACAATGTACACATACTTTCTTTTTGTCCTTTTTTTTAATTTTTCTTAATCAAAAGAAAGCTAGGGTTTCTTTTGTTTTCTTTAAAAATGTATACATATTTTAAAACATCATGCTGTTTAGTTTTCTTTAAAAATGTGTACATATTTTAAAACGTCATGTTGTACAACATAAATATATACAATTTTAATTTGTTAATTTTTTCATAATCTCTTTTTTCTTTTATTTTTGTTGTTTCTTATTTTTTTCTTTTTATTATACCTTAAGTTCTGACATACATGTGCAGAATGTGCAGGTTTGTTACATAGGTATGCATGTGCCATGGTGGTTTGCTGCATCCATCAGCCTGTCATCTACATTAGGTATTTCATCTAACATTATCCCTCCCCTTGCCACCTACATGTCGACAGGCCCCAGTGTGTGATGCTCCCCTCCCAGTGCCCATATGTCCTCATTGTTCAACTCCCACTTATGAGCGAGAACCTGATTGCCCTGGCCAGAACTTCCAATGCGGAGGTTGGTTTTCTGTTCCTGTGTTAGTTTGCTGAGGACAATGGTTTCCAGCTTCATCCATGTCCCTGCAAAGGACATGAACTCATTCTTTTGTATGGCTGCATAGTATTCCATGGTATATATGTGCCATATTTTCTTTATCCGGCCTAACATTAATGGACATTTGTGTTGATTCCAAGTCTTTGCTGTTGTAAATAGTGGTGCAATAAACATACCTGTGCATGTGTCTTTATAGTAGGATGATTTATAATCCTTTGGGTATATACCCAGTAATGGGATTGCTGGGTCAAATGATATTTCTGGTTCTAGATACTTGAGGAATTGCCATACTGTCTCCCACAATGGTTGAACTAATTTACGCTACCATCAACAGTGTAAAAGCATTCCTATTTCTCCACATCCTCTGTAGCATCTGTTGTTTCCTTACTGTTTAATCATGGCCAATCTAACTGGCATGAGATGGTATCTCATTGTGGTTCTGATTTGAATTTTTCTAATGACCAGTGATGATGAGCTTTTTTTCATGTTTGTTGGCTGCATAAATGTCTTCTTTTGAGAAACGTCTGTTCAGATCCTTCACCCACTTTCTGATGTTTTTTTTTTTTTTTTCTTGTAAATTTGTTTGAGTTCCTTGTGGAGTCTGGATATTAGCCCTCTGTCAGATGGACAGATTGCAAAAATTTTCTCCCATTCTGTAGGTTGCCTGTTCACTCTGATGATAGTTTCTTTTGCTGTGCATAAGCTCTTTAGTTTAATTAGATCCTATTTGCCTATTTTGGCTTTTGTTGCCATTGCTTTTGGTGTTTTAGTCATGAAGTCTTTGTCCATGCCTATGTCCTGAATGGTATTGCCTAGTTTTTCTTGTAGGGTTTTTATGGTTTTAGGTCTCACATTTAAGTCTTTAATCCATCTTAAGTTAATGTTTGTATGAGGTGTAAGGAAGGGGTCCAGTTTCAGTTTTCTGCATATGGCTAGCAAGTTTTTCCAACGCCATTTATTAAATAGGGAAGATTTCCCCATTGCTTGTTTTTGTCTAGTTTGTCAAGGATCAGATGGTTGTAAATGTGTGGTGTTACTGCTAAGGCCTCTGTTCTGTTCCACTGGTCTATATATCTGTTGTGGTACCAGTTCCATGCTGTTTTGGTTGCTGTAGCCTTGTAACCTGATGCTTCCAGCTTTGTTTTTTTGCTTAGGATTGTCTTGGCTATTATGGCTCTTTTTTGGTTTCATATGAAATTTAAACTAGTTTTTATCTAATTCTGTGAAGAAAGTCAATGTTAGCGTGATGGGAATAGCATTGAATCTATAAATTACTTTGGGCAGTATGGCCATTTTCCTGATATTAATTCTTCCTATCCATGAGAATGGAATGTTTTTCCATTTGTTTGTGTCCTCTCTTATTTCCATGAGCAGTGGTGTGTAGTTCTCTTTGAAGAGGCCCTTCACATCTCTTGTAAGTTGTATTTCTAGGTAATTTATTCTCTTTGTGGCAATTGTGAGTGGGTGTTTGCTCATGATTTGGCTCTCTATTATTGGTGTATAGGAATGCTTGTGATTTTTGCACATTGATTTTTGTATCCTGAGACTTTGCTGAAGTTGCTTATCGGCTTAAGGAGTTTGGGGGCTGAGACGATAGGGTTTTCTAAATATACAATCCTGTAATCTGCAAAGATAATTTGACTTCCTCTCTTCCTATTTGAATACCTTTCTTTCTTTTTCTTACCTGATTGCCCTGGCCAGAACTTCCAATACTATGTTGAATAGGAGTGGTGAGAGAGGGCATCCTTGTCTTGTGCCAGTTTTCAAAGGGAATGATTCAGCTTTTGCTCATTCAATATGATATTGGCTGTAGGTTTGTCATAAATAGCTCTTATTATTTTGATATACTTTCCATCAATACCTAGTTTATTGAATGTTTTTTAGCATGAAGGAGTGTTGAATTTTATTGAACGCCTTTTCTGCATCTATTGAGATAATCATGTGGTTTTTGTCATTGTTTCTGTTTATGTGATGGATTATGTTTGTTGATCTGCGTATGTTGAACCAGACTTGCATCCCAGGGTTGAAGCTGACTTGATCGTGGTGGATAAGCTTTTTAATGTGTTGCTGGATTCAGTTTGCCAGTATTTTATTGAGGATTTTTGTTTCAATGTTCATCAGGGATACTGGCCTGAAATTTTCTTTCTTTGTTGTGTCTCTGCCAGGTTTTAGTATCGTGATGATGTTGGCCTCATAAAACGAGTAAGAGAGGAGTCCCTCTTTTTCCATTGTTGGAAATAGTCTCAGAAGGAATGGCACAAACTTCTCTTTGTACCTCTGGTGGAATTAGGCTGTAAATCCGTTTGGTCCTGGGCTTTTTTTTTTTTTTTTTTTGATTGGTACGATATTAACTACTGTCTCAATTTCAGAACTTGTTATTGGTCTATTCAGGAATTCAACTTCTTCCTGGTGTAGTCTTGGGAGGGTGTATGTGTCCAGGAATTTATCCCTTTCTATTTTCTAGTTTATTTGTGTAGAGGTGTTTATAGTATTCTCTGATGGTAGTTTTTATTTCTGAGGGATCAGTGGTGATATCCCTTTTATCAGTTTTTATTGTGTATATTTGATTCTTCTCTCTTTTCTTCGTTATTATTCTGGCTAGTGGTCTATCTATCTATCTTTTTTTTTAAAAAAAGCCCCTGGATTGATTTTTTGATGGGTTTTTCATGTCTCTGTCTCCTTCAATTCTGCTCTGATCTTAGTTATTTCTTGTCTTCTGCTAGGTTTTGAATTTGTTTGCTCTTGCTTCTCTAGTTCGTTTAATTGTGATGTTAGCGTGTCGATTTTAGATCTTTCCTGCTTTCTCCTGTGGGCATTTAGTGCTATAAATTTCCTTCTAAACATTGCTTTAGCTGTGTCCCAGAGATTCTAGTAGGTTGTGTCTTTATTTTCATTGGTTTCAAATAACTTATTTATTTCGGTCTTCCTTTCATTATTTACCCAGTCGTTATTCAGTAGGAGGTTTTTCAGTTTCCATGTAGTTGTGTGGTTTTGAGTTTCTTAATTCTGAGTTCTAATTTCATTGCACTGAGGTCTGAGAGTCAGTTTTTTATGATTTCCATTCTTTTGCATTTGCTGAGGAGTGTTTTACTTCCAATTATGTGGTTGATTTTAGAATAAGTGTGATGTGGTGCTGAGAAGAATGTATATTCTGCTGATTTGGGGTGGAGAGTTCTGTAGATGTCTACTAGGTCTGGTTGGTGCAGAGCTGAGTTTAAGTCCTGGATATCCTTGTTAACCTTCTGTCTCATTGATTTGTCTAATATTGACAGTGGGGTGTTAAATTCTCCCATTGTTATTGCGTGGGAGTCTATGTCTCCTTGTAGGTCTCTCTGGACTTGCTTTATGAATCTGGGTATTCCTGTACTGGGTGCATATATACTTAGAATAGTTAAATCTTCTTGTTGAATTAATCCCTTTACCATTATCTAATGCCTTTCTTTGTCTTTTTTTGATCTTTGTTGGTTTAAAATCTGTTTTAGCAGAGACTAGGATTGCAACCCCTGCTTCTTTTTGCTTTCCATTTGCTTGGTAAATCTTCCTCTATCCCTTTATTTTGAGCATATTGTGTGTCTTTTCACGAGATGGGTCTCCTGAATACAGCACACATATGGTTCTTGACTATCCAATTTGCCAGTCTGTGCCTTTTAATTGGGGTATTTGGCCAGTTTACATTTAAGTTTACTAATGCTATGTGTAAATTTGATCATGTCATTATGATGCTAGCTGGTTATTTTGCCCGTTAGTTGATGCAATTTCTTCATAGTGTCAATGGTCTTTACATTTTGGTTTCTTTTTGCAGTGGCTTGTGCCAGGTTTTCCTTTCCACATTTAGTGCTTCCTTCAGGAGCTCTTGTAAGGCAGGCCTGGTGGTGACAAAATCCCTCAGCATTTGCTTTTCTGTAAAGGATTTTATTTCCCCTTCACTTATGAAGCTTAGTTTGGGTGGATATGAAATTCTACTTTGAGAATTCTTTTCTTTAAGAATGTTGAATATTGGCCCCCACTCTCTTCTGGCTTGCAGGGTTTCTGCAGAGAGATCCCCTGTTAGTCTGATGGGCTTCTTTTTGTGGGTAACCTTTCTCTCTGGCTGCCCTTAACATTTTTTTTCCCTTCATTTCAACCTTGGTTAATCTGACGATTATATTTCTTGGGGTTGCTCTTCTCGAGGAGTATCTTTGTGGTGTTCTCTGTATTCCCAGAATTTGAATGTTGGCCTGTCTTGCTAGGTTGGGGAAGTTCTGGATAATATCCTTAATTGTGTTTTCCAACTTGATTCCATTCTCCCTGTCACTTTCAGGTATACCAATCAAACATAGGTTTGATCATTTTACATAATCCCATATTTCTTGGAGGCTTTGTTCTTTTCATTTTTTCTCTAATCTTTTCTTCACACTTTATTTCAATAAGTTGATTTTCAATCTCTGATAGCCTTTCTTCTGCTTGATCCATTTGGCTGTTGATATTTCTGTATGCTTCATGAAGTTCTTGTGCTGTGTTTTTCAGCTCCATCAGGTCATTTATGTTCTTCTCTAAACTGGTTATTCTAGTTAGAAATTCCTCTAACCTTTTATCAAGGTTCTTAGCTTCCTTGCATTGGGTTAGAACATGCTCCTTTAGCTCAGAAGAGTTTGTTATTACCCACATTCTGAAGCCTATTTCTGTCAATTCATCAAACTCATTCTCCATCCAGTTTTTTTTTCCCTTGCTGGTGAGGAGTTGTGATCCTTTGGAGGAGAAGGGGCATTTCTGGTTTTTGGAATTTTCAGCCTTTTTGTGCTGGTTTTTCCTCATCTTTGTGGATTTATCTACCTTTGATCTTTGCTGTTGGTGATCTTTGGATGGAGTTTTTGAGTGGTTGTTCTTTTTGCTGATGTTGATGCTGTTGATTTCTGTTTGTTAGTTTTTCTTCTAACAGTCAGCACTCTCTTCTGTAGGTCTGCTGGAGTTTGCTGGGGGTCCACTCCAGATCCTGTTTACCTGGGTATCACCAGCAGAGGCTGCATAACAGCAAAGACTGCTGCCTGCTCCTTTCTCTGGAAGCTTCCTCCCAGAGGGGCACCCACCAGAGCTCTCCTGTATGAGATATCTGTCGACCCCTGCTGGGAGGTTTTTCCTTGTCAGGAGGCACAGGGGTCAGGACCCACTTGAGGAGGCAGGCAGTCTGTCCCTTAGCAGACCTGGAGCACTGTGCTGGGAGATCCGCTGCTCTCTTCAGAGCTGGCAGGCAGGAAGGTTTAAGTCTGCTGAAGTTGTACCCACAGCCGCCCCTTCCCCCTGGTGCCCTGTCCCAGGGAGATGGGAGTTTTATCTATAAGTCCCTGACTGAGGCTACTGCCTTTCTTTCAGAGATGTCCTGCCAGAGAGGAGGAATCTGGAGAGGCAGTCTGGCTACAGTGGCTTTGAGGAGCAGTGGTGGGCTCCGCCCAGTCCAAACTTCCCAGTGGCTTTGTTTACACTATGACCAGGAAAACCACCTACTCAAGCCTCAGTAATGGCAGACCCACCTCCCCCCACCAAGCTGGAGCCCTGGGTGGACTTCACACTGCTGTGCTGGCAGTGAGAATTTCAAGCCAGTGGATCTTAGCTTGCTGAGCTCTGTGGCGGTACGATCCACTGAACAAGAACACTTGGCTGTCTGACTTCAGCTCCCTTTCCAGGGGAGTGAACAGTTCTGTCTTGCTGGCTTTCCAGGCGTCACTGGGGTATGGGGGAAAAAAAAAACCCTCCTGCAGCTAGCTTGGCTTCTGCCCAATCAGCCACCCAGTTTTGTGCTTGAAACCCAGGGCCCTTGTGGTGTAGGCACCTGAGGGAATCTCCTGGTGGGTGGGTTGTGAAGACCATGGGAAAGGCGTAGCATCTGGGTCAGAGAGCACTGTCCCTCACAGCACAGTCCCTCATGGCTTCCCTTAGCTAGGGGAGGGAGTTCCCTGACCCCTTGTGCTTCCCGGGTGAGGCAATGCCCCACCCTGCTTCTGCTTACCCTCTGTGGGCTGCACCCACTGTCTAACTGGTCCCAGTGAGATGAACTGGCTACCTCAGTTGGAAATGCAGTAATCACCTGCCTTCTCTGTTGGTCTTGCTGGAAGCTGTAGACCGGAGCTGTTCCTATTTGGCCATCTTGCTCAGGAATCTAATTTTTTAATTTAAAAAACAAATGAAAACAGCCAAAAGGAAAAAAAAGACAAACTGTTTCCCAGCTACTCAGGAGGCTGAGCCAGGAGAATTGCTTGAATCCAGGAGGCGGAGGTTGCAGTGAGCCGACATCACACCAGCCTGGCAACAGAGTGAGACTCCGTCTCAAAAAATAAATAAATAAATAATAAAAAAGTATATGCTTAAATAAGTGGATTGTCCTTTTCAGCCAGCATCTGTCTTTAGGACCCTGGCGATCCCACGTTGACAGCCACACTTGCCCTTCTCCTTCCACCAGAGTTTTAGTTTTTAATCAGTATTTTCTGTTCCCTGCTATTGCAAACAAACTCATTTAAAAGGAGCAGACTTTTTTTGTACTTTCGTACTTTTTAAAAAAATTTTTTAATAGTAGAGACAGGGTTTCACCATGTTGGCTAGGCTGGTCTTGAACTCCTGACCTCATGATCCACCTGCCTCAGCCTCCCAAAGTGCTGGGATTACCGGCGTGAGCCACCATGCACTACTAGATTTTTTTTTTTTTCCAGATTGTTTTTAATCCATTAGAATTACTTAGGAATTGTCTCATTTCTAAATGGTATTTAAGTATTATGACTGGGGATTAAATATCACATACCCTGAGGACCCTGGTGAGTTGAAATTATGTATGACAGGATCTGGTCTTTGGAGGAAGGCAGGTCTCATTTCCACACCAGTCTCTTCATTTACTGGTTTTGTGACCTTGTATACATCATTTAATACCTTTCTGAGCCACCAATTGTCTGCAAACTTGGGTGATAAGACTTTATAATTTTTCAAAAATAAAATTTTAGATTACTAAATTAAAAGTTAAAGATATAACATATAAAACAATATTAATATATTTAGTAATGTGACTGTCATAAAAGAGAATTGCAGAAGATTTGATTTTTTGCAGGTTCTTCTTGTTTTGTATTGTTTTAAATGGTGTGTGTTAACATTTTAACATTTATATCTGATCTGACTGGATAGAAGGCTCAGAAGATTAGGAGAATCCAATTTACTTAAAGGGAATGAAAATAATTTATCATAAAAATCTAAGGATAAAAATCTTTACAAGCTGTCAACAACCAAGAACATTAGTATGATGACATAATTAATAGGAATAGAACTGTTGCAATTCTCAGATATCAACTTTAACCTGGCATCTTCAGGCAAAAATAATGAAGTCAAAATGGAAATTTTCTAGCACCAACAGAGAACTGTCAATCATGATAAATTGAAAACACTTAACAAAAATATGTTTAATATATTTCTATTTTGGATAGCTCAAAGACCAAATATAGATGTCTTAAAGGTGATGGATTTTGAATAAGAGCTGATATGATCTAATATATCAAGCATAGCCATGTGTCACATAGAGATGTTTTTATCAATGCTGAACCGCATGTAAGATGGAGGTCCCATAAGATTGTAATGGAGCTGGAAGATGACTATCACCTAGTGATGTCACAGCCTTCCTAACATTGTAGCACAAAATACTAGTCAAATATTTGTGGTGCTGTTGGTGTAAACTAACCTATGCTGCTTGTTGCATAAGAGTACAACACATTCTGTACAGTATATGATACTTGAAAATAAATGACTACATTACTGGCTTATTCATTTACTATACTATGCTTTGTAATTAATATTTTAAAGTATCATCTTTCTATGCACAAATATATAGATATACATATATGTGTGTCTATATGCTTTATAATTTAACTATATATTTATATAATTGAACTATGTTTATGTAAACAGAAATATATAAATGTATATGTTTATAATTATATTTATATATTTATATAGATATATATTTATATAATTTAACTATAAATGTATATAAATTAACTATAAAATAGCCTAACCAGGTCATTCAGGTTTTGGTTTATGCAAAAATATTTCCTTAAGGATTTACTTTCATTCAGGTATATGCAAAACGATCAAAAACAAGAAAAGACAAATGCAATCATTCCTTGGATTCTCTACTGACTTGTTCTAAACTACGAACACCCATGGGGTCATTAAAGTATTAGGCAGTGAATACCATTCAAAACTAATGTACACCTCATTTATTAAATCAATTTTGTCTTCTTGGCAATGATTAGAGGACTGAACAGGGTGAACTGTGTTATGGAGGGAAGGAAATGTTACTTTAGTGCACAGAACTGAGTCAGTTGCCGTGATAGCAAATAACATCACATTAACTAGATTTTGGAGATGTAAGTTAGGTGATAGATGGATAGAAAAAAGACAGGTGGTAGAAGGATGTGAAGGACACATTTCACTGATTTGCTAACTCTTCCCAAATCTGGTTAGTTCATTACCTGCCTAAATCATCAACTTATCAACTGGAAGAGAGGTAATCAAAAATATCACAATTCAAATAAAACTACTCTCTTCTCAAACGATGCCTTCTTGAAACCAGTAGGCGTCACAGAAAAAAAGAATGTATCTCAAATGCCTCGGCAGTGGCAGCTTCTATTCTTTCATTAGGAAATGGGTAAAGAATAGCCAGTTGTCACATCTCTATTTTTTTTCTGGATCCAAGAAGCATAGCATTTTGAAATCACTCCCACCATGGTTTAACCTCAGTTTATTGACAAGGCAGTGTTATGGAATCGATTCTAACAGGAATGGGAGTTTTCCCATCACTCTCGATTCTTGTAACACTTTGCCAAACATAGCCACCTCCTGGAATGGCAAGGCTGCTGCCCTGTTTTAAAAGAGAAGGGCCAGAAGTGTAGATGAGAGCTTCATTTTCTTGTTTCCAAGTGGAAACTGCTATTAATCTGTCCAATTGCTAATCTCACCTGGGTAAATGAGTTTGGCTAGGGTCTTCAGTCAGACTCGACTTGTATTCACAATATGTGAGGATTTTGTATACATAAAATATATCCTTCTTAATTTTCCACTCCTATCAGCTGTGGACTTTTTTCATTTTTAGTTGTTAGCTATAAGTAGTTATGATACTGTTTTCATACAATGCCTTTTTTTTCTGGTATAGTTTTTTTGCTACCCTTGGCAAACCTGCAAAATTTTATACATTAAAAATATGTTTGTGTAATTAAACACAAATATATTTAAAGTGTATATTAATATATATATTTTATGTACATAGAGTACATTAATGTATATATTTTATACACATATATAATGTACATATTAATAAAAATAATAAGATTCAGTTTATATATTATCTTGTGTTTTTCAGTTGGCTGGATATAACTTACATGACTTTATTAGCTCTGTTAATAACAATTAGAGATCACTTTCACATTTGAAGGCAAGAGCTAAATTGGCCAAATATAAAAGACACATATGCTAAAACGAATATTTAGAAAAAGATTTTTCCCCATTGATAAACTCGCTAAAGTTGAGGTTGTAATCACAATTTGGGAGTTAATTTATTTTTAATAGCTGATACTTCCATTTCTCTGTTCAAAATGATTGTCAGAATAAAACCCATAATCCAAAATGTCTGGAAATAAAGACCATTTTCAGTGTCCTCCAGCTGTATTATGAAAGGAGATACTTCTTTTCTTCCTTGTGCTCAGATTTCAAAAAGGAGATTAGTGCAAAATCAATTTATAAAGCATCTAAAGTGTTCTAACAATCACATCTCCATTCCAGTGAATTTAGTAAATGCATTTTACCTCTCTACTGAGATGTTTTTACTATAATGAAAAACCCAATGAAATGTTTCCCTATTAGGTCTATTATTCATCCCTTCTGTCCTGCCTCCCTTTAAAACAGTAACCGAAAGGGCATAGTGAAGATTCAATTTTTGTTTTGCCTTATAACGCCATATTAATCAACTCACCATCCATATGCAGTGGGTTGTGGATGCTTGGCACACTTACTATGTTTTGTCTTACTTGGAGCCTTTCTGGGATGTGTGTTTTTGGATTTTTTTTCACAGCATTAAACTAATTATTGAGAAGGAAGAAAAGTTTTAAAATCTCCATGGGACAGTAATTAACCCAACCCTAATTCTGTATGTATTTTGGCACAAAGTGTCACCATAGAAAATGACGTCAGGCTGTATGTTTTTCAAAAGGCACTTTATAATTAGCTGCCTATTTATGAGACTGAGCCTGTGAGTTGGTGGTGGCCACCAGGCATATGCCTTCCTGCTTTTGCTGGAGAACTTCTTTAAATGTCTTTTTTTTTATAAACTTAACTTAAAGGTACAGAATTTAAATGAATGAGAGAACCCCAAACTCCCATTTCACAAATGCAAATATTCAGATGCAGCATAGTCTTATTATTTTTCTTTTATAATTATTTTATTATACTATATTTTATGTTGCTTTTTTCTATTATTATTAATTTACTTCATATATTTTTTCCTTAGGTAGACAAAGATGTAGGAACAAAGACAGTTTTATCTTAATTTTTTACTTTTTCTTTCTGTGGTAAATACTCCAGTTACATAAATACAATTTTCATATCTCTACTTTGAACTGAAACCTCTATTCTAAAGTTTCTGGGAGCCATCCATTACTGTATGAGCCATCCATTACTGTATGAAAAAACTTTGGTTTAAAAGGAGCTTCATAAAGTCTATAGGGTGTGAATTCTTAAAACTGTGAAAATGGAAGCAATCTAGATATAAATCTGTTTCTGAAACAGTTTGGATACATAGCTACATAAAAGAAAGACATTTTGTAGAAATTGTTCTGTTAACTAGATACAGATTTGTGGTCCATTTCAGAGCCTTACCTATGGCTTTATGCTGAAAATATAAAATGTTGTGGAAGTACGTGGGTATGTTGCACTATGTATTCTTGGACAAGAGAAAAAATTGCTCATTTTTCCTATGTTCAGAAGAAACATTCATTAGCGCATTTTATCTTGTGCTTCTGGAATTCGCATAGATTCCTTAATGCATTTATATATTTAAATATTCAATTTTATTTATGGAGGAATATCCACTTTCTTGTTTAAACATGTTCTCTTAGAATTAAAATGCATAAGATAGAGTATTCTTGGCATTGGCATTTCAGAAGCAGCATATTTTTTTGCTTTTGCTTGTGGGAGTAAACAAAATAAAACACAAACAATATTTCTTAATTGATTCAGATGTTTCAAATGAAATCATTTCATCCTGCAATGTTCAGGATGGTTTGTGATCAAGACAAACTTGTCTCCTTTTCTCAGCACAGCATCTGAGTGCAGAGAACAGCTGTCCCATTAACTAAAGCTGACAATCACATTCTAGTGTTTTTATCTGTTTTTTTCCCAGAGAGACCATAGATACAGGGAATGGGAATTTCCCAGAATAAAGTTTGAAAGTGTACATCTTATGGTGACTGAGGTGGAGACAAAGGAAGAAGAATGCCCAAATTGGAGAAGTCTAACTAAACATTCAAATCAAACTGTTCATTTTATAGATGAGGCCTAAAGACATAGGTTGGAAAAGTGATTCCCAGCAAATGGGCTAGAACTCAGGTTTTCCATTATCCAGATTATACACCAAATTTCTCTATTTCTTTAGTTTTTATAAGACACAATGCCTTGCAATGGAATAAAATAATTTTACACTTGTTATTTGTTTAGGACCACACACATTTTTTAAAAATTTAATTTCAAATTCCAGGATACATGTGCAGGATGTGCAGGTTTGTTATGTAAATATGTGCCATGGTGGTTTGCTGTACTCATCAACCTATCACCTAGGTATTAAGCCCTGCATGCATTAGCTATTTATCCTGATGATCTCCCCACTGACCCTGCCAACAGGCCCCAGTGCGTGTTGTTCCCCTCCCTGTATCCATGTGTTCTCATTGTTCAGCTCCCACTTACAAATGAGAGCATGTGGTGTTTGGTTTTCTGTTCCTGGAACCACACACATTTTTATCTGAATGAAAGTTATAGTCACACACTGAGGGAAAGATGACTTCAGATATAACCACTCAGAAATTCAAAATGCAAATTTTATTTTAAGAATATACCTAATTAACTATCCTGAGATAAGCTCATGAGAATAAATACGTATTATTAGAAATGGGCATGGTTGTGGTTCATGCCCATAATCCTAACACTTTGGGAGGCCGAGGCAGGTAGATTACTTGACCCTAGGAGTTTGAGATCAACCTAGGCAGCATGGCAAATCCCTGTCTTTACAAGAAATACAAAAATTAGCCAGGCATGGTGGCATGCACCTGTAGTCCCAGTTACTTGGGAGGCTGAGGTAGGAGGATTGCTTGAGCCCAGGAGGTCGAGGCTGCATTGAGCCATGATTGTGCCACAGCACTCCAGCCTGGGTGACAGAGTAAGATCCTACCAAAAAAAAGAAAGAAAAGGAGAAAGGAAAGGAAAGAAAGGGAAAGGGAAAGGGAAAGGGAAAGGGAAAGGGAAAGGGACAGGGACAGGGACAGGGACAAGGAAAGGAAGGGAAGGGAAGGGAAGGGAAGGGAAGGGAAGGGAAAACTCTAAAGCTGCACTACCCAATGTGTTAACTACTGCCCAATAAATTAAATTAAAATAAAATAAAAAATGTAGTTCCTCAGTTAAATTAATTACATTTCAACTTCTCAGTCGTCATACGTAGTTAGTAGATACCGTATTAGTGCAAAACTATACAACACTTCTATCATGGCACAAAGTTTCACTGGACGTAACTGGGCAAAATGTGGTGTTGGACTACATTATGGCTAGTCTTGAAAATAGGAGCAATTAAGAGCTTGGTTGTTTCTTTTTTTCAGAAATAATATGATTTTTGACTAAATCTACTTACATAAGTCTAATGTATTTCCTAAGATCAATAGTATTTTAAAAGATCATGTTTCCAGGCACATGGTTCATGCCTATAATCCCAGCACTTTGGGAGGCTGAAGCAGGCAGATAACTTGAGGTCAGGAGTTCAAGACCAGCCTGGCCAACATGGTGAAATCCCATCTCTACTAAAAATACAAACATTAGCTGGGCATGGTGTTGCATGCCTGTAACACAGTTACTCTGGTGGCTGAGGCGGGAGAATTGCTTGAACCCAGGAGCCAGAGGTTGCAGTGAGCCAAGATCGTGACACTGCACTCCAGCCTGGTAACAGAGTGAGACTCCTTCTTAAAAAAAAAAAAAAAAAAAAAAAAAAGATTGTGTGCAACTTAGTCCCAAAGACATTGGGACTAAGCTTATATTCTGTATTCAGGGATGATGTATTTTAATGTGTCAAACCGAAAGCCTTACTAGTGACAAGTTTCAACCAACAAAAGCCATTGTTCTGATTATCTGGGACATGGGTAATGTCACCAAACATGACAAATAGGTAGAATTGATTTCCATTAAAAAAATTCTTGCCAAATAGACAAAAACTGTTAAATCTTTTAAATTCTTTGAGAGCCACATGGCAAGATACCTGAGAATCATCAAATTTTCAGACCCAGTAGTTTCATTATGATTCATCCAAAGGCACCCAAAGCTAAGAATATCAAAATAGATCCCAAAAGAGGTTACTTGCTGCAGTGATATAGAACGTAGCAAACCACAAGAAACAACATCAGTGGGGAATCATTTATTAACTCATGGTGTATCAGTAATATAGAGGGTTAAGAGAATCGTGGACTAAGCAAGAGTACAGGTTCTAGAGTCCAAGCCATTAGTTTTTAATAATAACTCTACCACTGAGTAACTCAGAAAGCAAGGTCAGATAATGTATACTTTCAGTTTTCTGAAAAAAGGAGATTATGGTAGTGAAGGAGTCATAGAAAGTCCGTAGTAATGAAATGAGATTCATGCTTGAGAGGCTCGTAGACTTATGTATTGTATATCTAGCATGCAGTAGAAACTCAGTAAATGTTGGATACTTTATTATTTTGTGAATATTTAGTAAGACTGTACTCACAAACACAATATAATTGAAATATATACTCTTTGTAAGACAAGGTTAAATGACAAGTTACAAATAGATACTGTGCATTCTCAAAAAGTTAAGCACAGAATGACCATATGACCCAGCAATCACCCTCCTTGCTCTGTACCCAAAAGAAATAAAATTCAAAAAAAGAGAAAAAAAATTTGTACTCAAATGTTTCTAGCAGAATTTTTCACACTCGCCAAAAGATGGAAACAGCCCAAATTTTTATTAACAATTGTGATATGTGTATACAGTGCAATATTAGTCAACCATAAAAAGCAGTGAAGTGCTGATACATATTAAAATGTGAATGAGGCCGGACGCGGTGGCTCACGCCTGTAATCCCAGCACTTTGGGAGGCCGAGGCGGGCGGATCGCGAGGTCAGGAGATCGAGACCATCCTGGCTAACACGGTGAAACCCCATCTCTACTAAAAATACAAGAAAAAAATAAAAATTAGCTGGGCCTGGTGGCAGGCGCCTGTAGTCCCAGCTACTTGGTAGGCTGAGGCAGGAGAATGGCGTGAACCCGGGAGGCGGAGGTTGCAGTGAGCCGAGATTGTGCCACTGCACTCCAGCCTGGGTGACAGAGCGAGACTCTGTCCCCCCAAAAAATAAATAAATAAATAAATAAATAAATAAAATGTGAATGAACCTCAAAAACATTTTGCTAAATGAAAGAGGTCAAACACAGAGGGTCACACATTGTGTAGTTCCATTTGTATGGAATATCAGAACAAGTTTTTCCACAGAGACAGACAGCAGATTGGTGTTTACCAGTGGGTAGGGGTAGAGGGAATATAAGTGTATCATTTCCTAGGGCTGCCATCATAAATTACCACCAGCCGAGTAAGTTACACAATAAATATTTACTTTCACAATGAAGGTAAGAAGTCTGAAATTAAGATGTCAGTGGAAACATGTTTCCTCTGAAATTAAGATGTCAGTGGAAACATGTTTCCTCTGAAATTAAGATGTCAGTGGAAACATGTTTCCTCTGAAATCTGTAGCAGAATCCTTCCTTGCCTTCTAGTCTCTGCTGATGTGCCAAGCGATCTTTGGAGTCCCTTGGCTCACAGTGGCATAACTCCAGTCTCTGACTTTGTTGTCACGGGGTGTACTACCAGTGCATCTCTGTCTTCACATGGCTGTCTTCTTATTAGAACACTAGTCATATTGAATTAATATCCCACTCCCCTACCCCAACTCCTCCAGGATAACCTCATTTCAAGGAATCCCATCTGCCTTAAGTCTATTTCCAAATAAGGTCATATTCTGATGTTCCAGGGCTTAGGATCTTTTTTTTTTTTTTTTTTTTTTTTTTTTTTTTTTTTTTTCAGTGAGGCACGATTCAACCCATAACAGAGAAATAACTCCTTATTGGAAACAAGGTTTTATTTTGATATGATGAAAATATTTTGGAACTAGAAAGTAGCAGTGATTGGACAACGTTGTAAAGATATTAAATGCCACTGAACTGTTCATTTAAAATGGTAATTTCATGTTATGTGTATTTCACCTCAATTAAAGAATGGAACATGTCTTATAATTGTAAATTACATGAGAACATATTTATGTTGGAAGTGAACACAAGTTTTTATTTTAAAAAGTAGAATAACTCTCAGGGGAAACTAAGTTTTTATATATTATAATACCTTCTTGTTAATTTTAATTATGTAAAGAATACCCTCAAAATATAGCTGAGATGAGTGAAGATAGAAAAGGAAATGCTAAGGCATCTTAAAGTAGAATAAATTTTGAGATCCTCAGATATGCAGAAGAAGATAGAGGTGTGTGGGAAGTCTTGAACAGAAAGGTGTCAGCTCCAAGGAGACCTGGGAAACCTGGGACTTAAAAGAGAAACATGAGCCTGGAAGGAGACCCCTTGATAAGAAAGGTTTAGTCCTTTTAAGAACAGGGATGTGTGAAATTTATTATTCATCTCTTTATTATGTGAAACTCCAATGTTCAGTTTCATTCCATTACCAAAAACTTGCATTATGGATGAGGTTTATGGAAAATCTGAGAATAGAACCAAGAACAAAGAAGAGAGGAACCCGAAGGAGTAAGATCAGGAGTGTGGCCAAGGACTAATTGTGACATTGTAAGTATGAAAAATCAACAAGGGAAGCCATGAGAAGATATAACCCCAAGAAGGCACGGTTATTGTGTTAGTTTGTTACGCATTGCTGTAAAGGAATACCCAAGGCTGGGTAATTTATAAAGAAATGGGGTTTCTCTGGTTCATGGTTCTGCAGACTATACAAGATGCATGGTGCCAACATCTGTTTCTTGTGAGGACCTCAGGAAGTTTCCAGTCATGGTGGAAAGTGAAGTGGGACCAGACATGTCACATGGTGAGAGAAAGTGGGGTGGGGAGGTGCCAGGCTCTTTAAACAAACAGTTCTCAGCGTAACTCATTACAATGGGGAGGAGCCAAGCCATTCATGAGGGCTCTGGTCCTGTGACCCAAACACCTTCCACCAGGTCCCACCTCTCCTATGGGGGATCACATTTCAATGTAAAATCTGGAGGCAACAAAATATTCAAACCATATCAGCAGTCTTGGGAAAGGCTCTGTACCTCTGACAGGACATGGGAGGGTAGGGAAAAGAAGGTCCATTCATTTACAAAAGTACATGGTTTCAGGTTACATCTGAGTTACATGGGAATACTACTGAATACAAATAAAAGATGGTTTTAAAATTATTCACACTATTCTATAGTATATTACTAAGTTAGCCTTAGTATAAGAAAAATAGAAGGTAGGTGTTTGAAGTTTTTTCTTGCTGTTATTTTTTTGACTTTGGTGTTTGGAAAGGGAAGCAAAGTGGTGAACCATGGTTTAGGCTCTTATTTAAATTTAAAAAAATTGATTTCACAAATGCATGAAGTCTGAATGGCATGTGCTATTTGTAGGAGGCAAAGAATCATTTGTTCAGAATATTTTAAAGAAAATGGAAACCATTTACTAAAGTAAGACATTTTACAACAAATCCAAATATGCTTCTGTGGTTTTTTAAATAATCTCTTACTAGTGTAAATACTAACCTTCATGTCATGGCTTTAAAAACCCAAACAACTGACTGTTAAAATACTTGGGGATAGAAACACAAAGTGTTTCTTCCGGCTGGAAGCAATTTCTCAGCAATGTTTTCTTCTGAGAGATAGTTCTCTATATTACAAATTGGTTGGGAATACAAGGACATCATGGAAGATGGATAAAGTACTTGAATGTTGATGTCCTGATTCTGTCACCTAGACCCACAATTTTAACTCTCCTGTGTGTCAAGTGCTATATAAGGAACAGTCAGGGAGAAAAGCCACAGAAAACTCTTCAGCACTTCCATTTTGAGCCAATGTTCTCATCCAAAAATGCTGTACATTGCTGAGGGGCATTTATTAAGTAGTAGTTCAGCTTCACACATGGAGGAAGATCTTATTTCTTTTGTGGAACAAATGATTTCTTCTGAGATAGGGTTATTCATGCTTTGAGGTTCTCCAACACGGAACACGTTATTTTGGATCATCTTTTACTCCTTTCAATAGATTCTGAGATGCAAGCACTGAAGGTTATCATCACAGTGCAAGGAGGAAGATGGAATTATTATGTAGCTTAAACAGAGCACAAAAGACTGAGCAGAGCTAATAGGTTTCTTCAAGTTCAATTCCACTGTTTTCACATGAGTAACCTTTTAGCCTAAGGCTCATTGGTCCAACAACAAAGCACAGACTAATTCACTCTCACTCATGGTCTACTTACCAAGAATATCGCCTGATGTTTCCACACACTCAGAAGGTGGCTGCCTTGGAATTGCCCAACAGTCATAAAATTTTCCAAGAAAATGGAAAGGCTCATTCACTATGCCAAGTAGAAATTTAAGGACGGGATAGTTTCTGTATAAATTGGTAGAACAGACATATGTTTATTACTCAACCACTTCCCCTTCTCTTTCCTAGGAACCTGTCTCATGATATCATGGGCCACCCCTAAACTGGGTCCTTATAACCCTTTTGTCAGCCCCACCTCTCTTAGTTGAATAGCCCTGGTATGGGCATTTGACCCAAAAGTCTTCTCAAAAACTGAGGAAGTAAACGCAAGGAAGAGGCTTTCTCTAAGGCTGAAATCATAAGCTCAGAAAATTTTGTGAGCCATATTTCTTTTCAAGTGGTTTAAAGATAAGGAGGAAATTAAAAGGCAAATCTGACAGAAGAATAAAGCAAATACTCAGATACCAGCAGAGATGGAAATCCTTCTTGTTGCTATTCATTAAATTTATGGTTAAAATAGGTCATAATTTGGCCAAACACAACTTTTAATTTTTCAAAAAGATATTTTTGTGTTATTATAATTTGCTTTCCTTTTTGCTTAACTTATTTAAGTTGTGTTCATGTCACCTGTAAAGAAAATATTCTTTACCAATACAAGCTTATGTTCCAGCAAACATTGCATGTTCTCCTTTTTTCATCAAAAAATCTTAGATCACAAAAATGCAGTTTTTTTAATTGAAGGAAAAATAATTATATTGATGGCAAAATGACAAGAACAATGCATGTGATAAACATTTACTTATTTATTTATATTTATTTATTTATTTTTGTTTTTTGAGACAGAGTCTCACTCTGTCACCCAGGCTAGAGTGCAGTGGCATGATCTCAGCTCACTGCAATCTCCACCTCCCGGGCTCAAGTGATTCTCCTGCTTTAGCTTCCTGAGTAGCTGGGACTACAGGTGTGTGCCACCATGCCTGGCTAATTTTTGTATTTTTAGTAGAGATGAGGTTTCACTATATTGGCCAGGCTGGTCTTGAACTCCTGACCACAGGTGATTCACCTGCCTTGGCCTCCAAAAGTGCTGAGATTGCAGGTGTGAGCTACCATGCCCAGCCAACACACACTAATTTATACCACAAGATGTACTAGTGCTGCCTCAGTTTACTTATCTGAAAATCCCTTACATACTACACTTGTCAACTCTGTGACTACAATGGCAGAACTGAGTAGTTGAGACAGAGAACATAAGGCACTTGACACGTAAAATATGTATTATCTGGTCTTACAGAGAAACGTTGATGACTCCTGATTTAGACCAACCTTGTATAGCTAAGGCAAGATTGAAAAACCCATGGCTCACCTGCTCTTATTGTGTGCCCATGGCAGACATACCTAGTGGATTAAGGTACCCTTTCAAACTAGGCAAAGACATGGCTACCACAGCTTCTTAGTATTCTAAGAAGAAGCTAATAATTAATCTGCACTGGCAAAGGAGATATGATATCTTTGTTCTATCTGGACTATGGAATTTTATAGATTCATATTTTCAGGCTGTCAGCTTTTCAACAAATTTTCAATATTCTCTACACTCAGCATGTAGCCCCTTCTGTGTGTAAAAGATATTACACAAGGGGATAAGTGGACAGGTGATATAAAACTGTTTAAGCTAGCATCTGGTTCAAGTAACATTTTAACCTCAACAGATGATCAAACCATAACAAAAAGCCACATTTTCTTATCCGTTTATCCACTGATGGATACATAGGTTGTTTTCATGTCTCGGCTATTGTGACTAGTGCTGCAATAAACATGAGAGTGCAGAGATGTTTTCCACATGCTAATTTCATAAAAAAGGAAATCCTATAATTTGTAACAACATGGTTAACTCTGGAGGACAGTATGTTAAGTGAAACAAGCCAAGCACAGCAATACATGCTGTCACCACACGATCTCACCCATATGTGCAAACTAAAAAAGTTCATCTCACAGAATAGAGTATAACGGTTATGATAATGGTTACTAGAGGTGGTGCTGTTGGTGGGTGCAGTGAAGGGGGAAGTTGGGGAGATGCTGGTTAAAAGGTACAAAATTACAGTTAGATAGGAGGATGATTGTACAGCATACTGAGTAAAGTTAATGACAATATATTTGTTCTTGGAAAATGCTAAACAAAATGTTAAGTATTCTCACCACAAAAATGATGACTATATGAGGCAAGGCATATGCTCATTAGTCAGATTTAGCCATTCCACAGTGTGTATATATATATATATATATATAATTTCAAAACATCATGTTGTATGTGATGAATATGTGTAATTTTATCTCTCAGTTTCAAAAATAAATAAATTTGTAATAAAAATATAAATAAATAACAAAAGCCATTCCCAAAATCTCAACAGGTGGGTTATCTCTGAGGAATGTACACACCTCAGTTCTAATCTAAAGAAATAAAACTTGAAGAATACCAAGAAGATAACATTCTTTTTAAAGAGCATAAACCTTTGGGTAAAGGTAAATATTTTTCCTATATAAAATACAGAGTGCAAATAAAAGATTAAACTGCATATTATAGAAAGGAAAAATAAGAGAATAATTTGTAGGGTTAATTTAAAGTACATTATTAATAACATAAGCACTTTTCCCGAAGAGTGAAAACTATGTTCAATATGAGTTTGAAAAAAAAATCTGTAGATTTTTTTAATCTATTGGATGAAATATGAAGATTTTATTCTATTAAATTGTCTATATGAGGTTGTAGCCATAAGCAACAAATTAAAATATGAATGGTGAAGACTATAAATGAATCCTTGCCAATTGGGTCAGAAGTATATGGTCTGATCTTTATATAGAACAGACCGATCAATAACAGAGCAGCCCAAAGTCTCTGGTTGAAATCCCAGGGTAATTCTACTTAAAAAAAAAAAAAAAAGCGGTAAGAAATGTGGTCTTTATCTTTATTTCCCTCTATTTTTTTCTTCTATAAATACTAATACAGTTGGCTTTCTTTTTCTCTAATAGAGGAAATACAGAAAAGATATTTCCTTTTAACAACCCAAAAAGGTCAGAAAAGTATAAAATGTCAAATCTACAAAGTTGGATAAATGTGGGCAAAGCATTAAATGTTAATGATGGCCTTCTTTGCAAAGTTTCATGAAAATCACGTACATTTTCAATTATGCTATAATTAAGATGGCATGATCCCACTTGTCATCACAAAATGAATTGACTAGACATGTGGTTGGGGTCATCATTAACATTTCAGTAAAGACCAAGCAGGAAGATAACTTGACTCACTGTCTCTGTCAACTGGCATAGCTAAGTGAAGAGGTGTGACAGTAGTGTGGGGGACTGTCATGATCAAGAGCTTGGGAGTCAAGCCAATTGGGTATTGGCTACGTGAACTCTTTGAGCCTCAGCTTCTCTGTTGATAAAATTGTGTGATGACATTTGACTTGCAGCATTGTTTTAAGGGCCAGAATAATAATTATTATTATTTTCTGCACAGCATGTAGCACAATGACAACATTATAAGGAGCTCCATAATATGACTTCTGCTCCTATTTCAAGCTTTATAGTCCATGGATGTCTTCATCATTCTCCATCCTGTAGCCTCACAGACCATTTTGCATTTTTAGTAACTTATGTGTTTTCTCAACTCTGATTCTTTTCCATTATATTTGCTCCTTTTGTTCCTTCGTCTTTCCTCATGCCCCCTCCATCTTCACTTGGCCAAATTCTACTATTTGATTATCAGTTTGACTGTATATGTTCCTTCACAGGATATGTTAAGATTCTTCTGCTATATGATGCCAGAGCATTCTATCCTTTTCCTTTCAAATCTTAAGTCTTACTTTAATCACTTATTTTGCTTTCTCCAGTTATACTGTAAGGAAGCTGTGGATGGGGAAAGCATTGCCTCGTTCACCAACACAACCCTGTTTTTGACATGTCCTAAGTATTGAATAAATTAGAACTACTTCCATCATTGTACTCCATATATATCTACAATGTAGGAAGCATGGACGTGGGCTTTGGATTTAGAAAGATGAGGGCTTGACTTCAATAGCTCACTAGTCCTGAAACATTGGCTAAGTTAGTCAAGCCCTACCAGATATCATTTTCTTGACTGTAAACTTGCAATAATACTGTCTCTGGAAGTGACTATGAAGGCTAAATGAGAAACATATCAGCATTGGTGACTCTTAAAGTAATTAGTATCACTATTATTGCCCTGTGCATTCACATTCCATTTTTTGTATAGTAGTCTAGACTTCTGAAAAGTAGAAATAAATCAATTGGGGGGAAAAAAGAAGCAAGTTCTCTTGCTAAGGCAATGTATTTGTGTAGAGCTCATTTTACCCCACCAAAGTTGCTTTCTAGCATTATGTTAACAGAGAAGATTTTCTGGGACTGAGATTTTATTCAGGGCCTTCCGTCAATATACTTATGATGCTAAGACGGAAATGACAACAGCTGAATTTAAATTGGAGGCTAATCTAAAGTGACAGCCATATCAAATTTTCAAGTCAGACTTGAAAGCCAGTCCTTCAGAGGTCTGCATCCATGACAAGTGCACCTGATGCACACCTCAGCTTGCCTCACCCCATCCAGCATGCTCATTAGATAATGTCACTCTGGCAATGCACAAGGGAAACGGTTTGGTGAAACCCATGTGACTCCAGAATTTTGCATGTTTCAGTGAATGAAACTCATGTTAGCTCATGAAAAGCAGATCCCTGTGGCTGTTTTTCAACCTCCAGAAAAAGAGAGCTAGGGAGGGCTCCAGAATTTTTATACACGTAGTACTTAGGATTAGTCATCTGGTTTTAAGAAAGCCTATGAGGCTTTTCTTGAGAGCATTTGCATCACAAGCTAATTGTTTTTTCTTAAACTGTGTGCACATTGGAATGGCTGGGGGATGCTTGTGAAAATCACAGGGGTTGGGGGAGAGAAGGGATAAAGCCTCGCTGAGCTATCCTTCAGTAAATATATAACTGTGGAAAAGGAACAGGGAATGTGGTTTTAATTGCCATAATGGCTTAAGCTTCAACTACTGAAGAATGCTATTTAATATTTCACTATGACCAAGTTGGTGGGAGAGACAAGTCAGAGGATCAGGACTTCACTTTCAGAGGAAACATCTGGAAAGTCCTGTTTGTTCTCATTCCCATGGCAGAAATTCCTCCTACACCCACATTAATGCCATTTTTAGATGAGTCAGCAGGAAAACTCAGATGGAAATTTTCATTCTAAACTTTGGAAGATTTATCTCTAAAGCCCTGAACCCAAAACAGTACTCTAGATGAGAAGAGTTTCTTCCGATACCTTTCTATTTCCCTGCCCAACCCCTAAAGACTACCCACCACCACCAAGTTTGAAGCAGAGCCACTTCCCTTGTTAGATCAACTAGGAAAATATTTAGTGTTTGATCATCTTTGGGGATTACTTCTCTGCTTTGTAATATATAATCAAAGATGCAATTAAAAATGCTAGAAATGTTTAATATGTTTTTAAAGAAAGAATTCAAAACTATGTTGTTCATAATATTAACAATGATATTTAAGAAACTGTGTTTTTCTGGGCTATCATGTCCCCTTCTCTCTGTACTGAATTAAGTAAGTCATACAGAAGGAAATAACCTTTTGTTATTCTCTGAGAAAGTACTTTGGTCTCAGAGACACGACATTTATTTTGTTCCTTATATTACTTGAGCTCACTTAGAAACACTAATAACATTAGGATGACCCTTAATAGCTTAAGTTTACTTTTAAACACAGTATCTCATTCAGCCTTGAAGACAAACCTGTGGGGGATAGATTATTTCCATTTAGAAGTAAGAAAACTGAGATGGAAAGAAGTTAAAAAACAATGCCTCTGATCACAGAATGAGCACATTAGCTAGGATTACCTGAAGCAAACACAACCCAGTTATGTTCCAGGAAATATAAAAAGGTAAGACAAATTAATTACATGTTCACAAATTATGTATTGAAATCTCAATCAGCTTTCAAGAATAACAATAACAGCTCTAGTATTATTATTGAAGACCTATTGTTTACAGCAGGTAGTCAGGCAGACATAAGCAGGGGCAGGAGAGGGACCCCCACCATCAGGAATGTCAGTCAACCATCAGGTGATGGTCAGGCAGTTAGTAAACTAAATTTCTAAAATAATAATTGGTCACAGCCAGCGCCAGGAAAAGGCAGTCTCCCAGTAGACAGAAACATCTGAAACTGGTGATCAGCAGCTTCTCGATAAGATCTCAGGAGTTGGGTGAGTGGGCTCAAGCACGTTCACTAAAAGGCAAAATGGCAGTTTAACTGGTATATGACCTTCTATGGACATTTGGCTGGTAAGAGAACACTTCAAGTAAGCGTGTTTACAGCGTCAGTAAACACATGTGCTCACCTCCCACACACTAGCAGGCCACTGCACATGTGGACAGCTCACCCCAAGAGAAGAATCAGGGGAGAAGGGACGCAAGAACCTGGAAGTTTGCCGACGTATAAAACCCCAAGTCAAAGGTCAAACAGCACACTTGTCTTTCAAGTTGCCCACTTGGCCCTCTTCCAAGTATACTTTCCTTTGTGTTATTCCTGCTCTGAAGCTTTTTAATAAGCTTTCAGTCCTGCTCTAAAACTTGCCTCTGTCTCCCCTTCTGCCTTAGGCCCCTCAGTCTAATTCTTTCTTCTGAGAAGGCAAGAACTGAGGTAGCTGCAGACCTATACAGATTTGCTGTTCATAACATACTGTGGTGCCGTGTGACTCAGATACTTTCCACTGCCAACACTATCATGTACCAAGAACTATATAATAAAAAGCAAGACAAGGTTAAGTCCTCAAGGAGCTCCCTATCTCCAATGTGCATAACACCAAATAAAAAGAAAACAACAAGCCATGTGGAGAAGGGTAAAGTTATATAAAAATATTATTAATAGTCTTTTTATCTGCAGAATATTTTATAGTTTTCAAAAAAATTCCAATTCCAATCTCTCCTTTTATTCTCATTATAACTTATCAATGTTTCACTGTGAGTGGGGGGTTGCTGTGCTCCATGAATTGGTGGTGCATGGGATATGGTGTGGAGGATAGTATGTACCTGGTATATGCACCTATTGTGAATTCTTATAATTTTATATTCCCTTGGGGATCTATTTTGAATACAAGTTCAACTTTCTCATACTAGAATCAGGGCTGTTGCAGGACGTCAGGAACCCCAAACGGAGGGACTGGCTGAAGCCATGGCAGAAGAATATAAATTGTGAAGATTTCATGGACATTTATTAGTTCCCCAAATTAATACTTTTATAATTTCTTACACCTGTCTTTACTGCAATCTCTGAACATAAATTGTGAAGATTTCATGGACACTTATCACTTCCCCAATCAATACCCTTGTGATTTCCTATGCCTGTCTTTATTTTAATCTCTTAATCCCATCACCTTCCTAAGCTGAGGAGGATGTATGTTGCCTCAGGACCCTGTGATGATTGTGTTAACTGCACAAATTGTTTGTAGAGCATGTGTGTTTGAACAATATGAAATCTGGGCACCTTGAAAAAAGAACAAGATGACAGCAATGTTCAGGGAACAAGAGAGATAACCTTAAACTCTGACTGCCGGTGAGCCATATTTCTCTTCTTTCAAAAGCAAATGGGAGAAATATCGCTGAATTCTTTTTCTCAGCAAGGAACATCCCTGAGAAAGAGAATGCTTCCCTGAGGGTAGCCTCTGAAATGGCCACTTCGGCGGGGCGGCCGTCTTTTATGGTCGAAGCTGTAGGGATGAAATAAGCCCCAGTCTCCCGTAGTGCTCCCAGGCTTATTAGGATGAGGAAATTCCCGCCTAATAAATTTTGGTCAGACCGGTTGTCTGCCTCAAACCCTGTCTCCTGATAAGATGTTATCAATGAAAATGCGTGCCAGAAACTTCATTAGCAATTTTAATTTTGCCCCTGTCCTGTGGTCCTGTGATCTCGCCCTGCCTCCATTTGCCTTGTGATATCTTATTACCTTGTGAAGCCTGTGATCTCTGTGACCCACACCGTATTCGTACACTCCCTCCCCTTTTGAAAATCACTAATAAAATCTTGCTGGTTTTACGGCTCAGGGGGCATCACAGAACCTGCCGACATGTGATGTCTCCCCCGGACACCCAGCTGTAAAATTTCTCTCTTTTGTACTCTGTCCCTTTATTTCTCAGACTGGCTGACACTTAGGGAAAATAGAAAAGAACCTACGTGACTATTGTGGGCAGGTTCACCCGATACAGGGCCCAGTCACTCTTGTCACAGCTTGAATGATTACATATCAGGGAAACTGAATTGGTCATTTTGTATCCGTTTATGCACAGACAAAGCGTCACTTCCACACTACATCCAAATGGCTCAAGCAGGTAGCCAGAGATAAGAACTCAGAGTTATCTCTTCCACCTGGTACACTAGACTCCCCACTCTCCTGCAGCTTCCTTTAAAAGGACCGTTCAGGCATTTGTTCCCAAACATAAAATGAGTCACACGCTGTACTTTTCCTCTCTTATCCTTCTTTATACCTGCCTTACATGACCTGGGGATGGAGAACTGCCCTACACACTCATTGCACCTTCCTTGCCATGGATCTGTAAATAAAAATCTTTGAACTTGTGTCCTATTGTGGTGGTATTGAATATGTGCCTTCCATCTGAAGAACCAGGGGTTTCTCCAGGCCAGGCTTTCCCAGAAATGCCTGGGAGAACACAAGGACTGGTTTCTAGTGCCAGAGCATTGGTCAGGCAGGCATACACTGGACATGGGTGAGATAAGAGCCACAAGGTCATTTACTACTCTAAACGAGTTTCCTGTGTGAAGGATGCCCTGGTGGCGAGATCTGACAACTAGGCATCGGGACATCCACCAGTTAAAGAAGTATCTTATGAAAGGGACACTGTAGATACCCATGTCCAGCTCCCCTTCATTTCCTGTTAGGGCAAGCCTGCCAGCTACTCTGATATTGGAGATCCAGTGTACCTTTGGGCTCTCAAAATAGTCCTGGCTCTCTCCTTAAAACTGGTTTGGCTGAAAGTTAAAAAAAAAAAAAGCAAATGTTTTATGCTTGTCAATTTAATTCTATAATTGGGAGAACAGTTTATGAGCTCATTATTGGTCCATTTATAAAGTCGAAGCAAAATAATTCACTTATGGCAAGAATTTCCCATTATTTCCATTATTTTCTGAGCATCTTCCACATTCCCAGCATTTTCTTATATACTCCTTTTGGTAAAGTGAATAATTTTCGACTCTATGTTACTTAAATGTCTCTTCTTAAAGACCACTACTTTGATATTTTGCTGTTTACCTATATCTTTCCCGGATTTGGTAAATTGTATACCTTTATGATTAATAAAGATATTAATATGAAGCTTCCAGAATGCCAGCTACTCTATGAGCTTGGAAGACATAGTGGGGATCAAGAGAGGCCTATGTACTGTGGCATAAATTTTATATTTCAGTAGTCAATATGGACAAGTAAAAGGGGAAAGCATATTTCTCATATGCTCTAGGAAAAAAATAAATTTACTTCACAGAATTATCTTGCTTTAATCTCACTGTGCTTCTCACTTTGAGAATCAGGATCACATTTTTTAATTGATGTTATCTTTCTACCAGTTGTTAAAAACAAGAGTTAGAATCTTTAATTTTAAAACAAAAATTTATCATCAGGTCTTTTTATTATTTGCTGTAAGTTAAACTTTCAGTTTGGGATAATGATGCAGATGAGGGGAAAAATATCTCAGTAGGACTGCAGAGACTAGATAGTATTGAGAATAAAAGCCAATGAGAGGTTAGCAGCCTGGTGAAGTCCTCATGTTTACAATTAGAAAGACCTGGGTTCAAATTCTATTAGCAGAGTATCCTTGGGCAAATTGCTTCCTCCAAATAAGCATCAGTTTCTATATCTGCAAAATGAGGATAATAAAAATAATAACAACAATGAAGTACCATAATCTGATGTTGTACTAATAACAGGAATTAATGCATGCAACCTGCTGCTGCAGTGCCTCAATAATGGCTAGCACTCTATAGGTGAGCTTGTAACAATAGTTTGAGATCTGGATGTTCAGTCATTCTGTATCAGAAACTGCCACACCACCAGATGGAGCCTCTCAGGTGTGCCGTCAGAAATGTAAAGATGATTTTGTGTCACAGATAAAACAGTAGCTGTACTCACAATTTGCAAATAAACTGGGTCCTTCCTCTATCACTGGACCTAAGGAATTTTGGTAATGACTCAGTTACTGTAAGGGGTAAGACGTCTGGGACACTTTGAGAAAACAGGGGAGCCAATGGAATTTCAAACCCAATACTCATTTTTACACCCCAAATTGTAAATGTCTTCTTAATTTCCAGAATATTGATCAATATCGATCTCCCATACAGCATGGATTAGACAATTGAGGTAGTAGGATTGGTTCACATTTCTAGCTGATTTTATTTTTCTCCTACCTCTGCCTTAAGTTCATTTCTTGTATCACTGGCGGGAGAATTCAACACTAAATTCTTTTAACTTTTCTGCCTTCTTTGACATCGCATTTCGAATTACAGACTTCTAATAAACATCTTCCATGTTTCATGTTTCTTATGGTAAAAATCCAAAGCAATACATTTCCCATCATTGAATAGGATATTTGTAAAAACCATAGTTCAATATCCAGTCTTTGTACCATTGACATACAGAGTAGATATAATGTATATAAGAGCACAATGTTGTGTACCATTTAAATTTTCTCCAGAGGGCTAATACCAGATAATACACAGGCCAAGTGGCCATTATTAGATTAGAGATCAGAAAGTAAAAGCATAGAGAAAATGCACAATATTGGAACATGGTTTTTCCAAGGAGATTTAAACCATCTCCTGTCAGATATGTACAAGTTTATAAAGATTTGTTTATTGCACTGGGGTTTTCTTTTCATGCCCCCACACTCAAAAAACAAACCTCATAGCTCAGAATCAAGATGTATAGGGTTTCTTCTGTACATAGTGTGGACACAGCTTTATTTAAACCAATGTTCTGTAAGGATTTTATGCATTTTTTTTTCCAGTAACTCTCCACATCTCACCATTTTTTAGCTTAGGCAAGAAAAGATTATTCTCTGCCTTGCTGGTCCAGAATCAGCCCTCTTGAGCTGCCCTATCCAAATGGACCATGAAAAATGAGAGCACATATGTCCTACTTTGGAATGAATAAAGCTTGGGAATTATTTTCTCAGCTTTGATGTCACATCATGCCTCCCACTTTGGAAAATATTCTTCACATCACTTTTTTTCCCTTTCTTCATCAGAAGAGCACCTACCTACCCGAAATGCTGCAACTGTGGAGGAAATACTAAATTCAGAAATGAAAATCCTATGTTTGTTTTCCAGGTTGCTCTGACCTAACTGTATATTAGACTCATATGAGAAGCTTTGAAAAGTACAAATACACAGATTTCATCTATAGAGATTCGGGTTCACTGGATTTGCAATGAGGCCAGGGTGTCTGGTAGCCTTGCAGCAACATAGTATAGTACCACGTCTCTGTAGGGATTGGAATATGGACTGCTAGCAGTCTGGAGGGAAGACACCGCTGTTTTTCCCTAAGGAGATACTGAGTGAATAAAGATGTGGTTTACAAAATGATGGTTCTGACTACTCTTAGAACTAATTTATTTATTAAATAGATAACAATGAGAAGTCATTTGAGTCATATTTCTACAAAAGGTAATCAACATAGAAATCATTTCCCATTCAGCCTAGTAAATAATAAAGATATACTTGTTAGTATAAAATGTCAGAATTTATATAACATTTATTATTATTATTTTAGTACACAAGAATGCAATTAAGAGTCCAGAAACCACCACTAAATTTCTTAGAACCAGGAAAAAATTTACACAATAGAAATATTTCCAAGATTATAGCTTTTCTTTAAAAATGTTTCTACTCCTACTAATCTATTTCTAAAAGAGGATAAAGGCAATACTTTATTTTTTAATAGATCTTACAAATGAGGTGACATTGTCGAAAAGTTATACTTCTGATCTATTGGGAACATTGAGTCAATATTTTAAAATTCTCAAATAAGAAAGCAGAATGTATGTTGTAATAATCTTTTCAGCAAAAATGAACACTGTCAAGATCCCGCATTTGATGAATTAAATAAAGGGCGTTACATGCACTGATTTCCCTCTAGGATAGTAGTATGACCTATCTAGTTCTCAACGTTCCCAACAGAGTAGAATATGGACTGCCTTTAGACTTGGGTCTCATTCCAAGATATATCATTAAATTTATGCAAGTATTCCAAAATCTGAAGAAATCCTAAATCCAATACACTTCTGGTCTCAAGCATTTTGGATAAGAGATGTTCAACCTGTAGCTGTGTTCTAAAGTAATCGCACATATTTAATCCCTTAACTCAGCAGTCCCAAACCTTTTTGGCTCCAGGGACCGGTTTCATGGAAGACAATTTTTCCATGAACTCGGGCAGGTGGGACGGTTTCGGGATGACTCAAGAGCATTACATGTATTGTGATGCACTTTATTTCTATTATTATCACATTGTAATATATATGAAATGTTATACAACTCACCATAATGTAGAACCAGTGGGAGCCCTGAGCTTGTTTTCCTGCAACTAGACGGTCCCATCTAGGGGCGGTGGCAGATAGTGACACCCAAAGTGTGTTACTTATGTCCAGTCTACTTTGTAATCTCGTTTTGGTTGCTGTCACTGTAGAAAATCCTGCTTTATAAAGATAGAATGTTGGAAATGGGAGCAGGATTTTCAGTATTTTTGTGGCATCCTCAGGATATTTCGTCTTGATTTTAATTCAGAATATATGGAGATTGGAATTTATCTCAAACATACTTTTAAGGCCACTGTCATTTGCGATCTCAGGCAGTTGATCCTCTTCTAGTACCAACAAAGTTGGTTCACCAGGCTTATTCACAAATGGGTCACAAGTCCATTCCTTCTCAGTTAGGGTTTTTTTTTTTTTTTTTTTTTCATTGGGGAGTAATGCTGAAACCCTTTTGAAAGCCGAGACAGGTGATCATGCACCAGCTAAGAGAAAGAAGATCCTGGCTCAGTCTCGTTCAAAGTCCCTGATAATGTTTGAAATATGTCAGAAATCCCAGTGTTCACTTGTCGCCCCCAAAGTTCCAGTTTGGCTTCGAATGCAGCCATGTTATCTGCCAACTTGAACACAGTTGTCATTCTCCCCTGAAGTGGCAGATTGCATTTGTTGAGCAGGTTGAATATTTCACACAAGTAAGCAAGTTTTGTGACTCATCCTGTGTCACTGAAATGTGCTGCCGGTGGTGACTGTTTTTCTAAAAGAAATCTCAGGCTGGGCATGCTGGCTCACACCTGTAATCCCAGCACTTTGGGAGGCCAAGGCGGGCAGATCATGAGGTCAGGAGATTGAGACCTTACTGGCCAACTTGGTGAAACCCCATCTCTACTAAAAATACAAAAATTAGCTGGGTGTGGTGGCAGGAGACTGTAGTCTCATCTACTAGGGAGGCTGAGGCTCAAGAATTGCTTGAACCTAGGAGGTGGGGGTTGTAGTGAGCCAGGATTGCGCCACTGCACTGCAGCCTGGCAACAGAGCGAGGCTCTTTCTCAAAAAAAAAAAAAAAAAAAAAAATCTTGATAGCAGCTCTCATAACTCAGAAACTCTGGCCAGTGATCTACCTTTAGAAAGCTATCTCACTTTTGTGAGTAAGAGAAGATGATGTGTATGCTCTGTGTCCATCTCCTCACAGAGCTGTGCAAACAGATGTAAGGGCATGTACTTTAACGAGGTTGATAATTTAAACTCATCCTGTAAAACGTTGTTAAGTTCAGGTGACATTTTTTTTTGGCTAGCCAGAATCTCTCTGTGGATGATACAGCGTAGAGGCTCACATTCAGAAGCGACCTCTTTGACCCAAGTAGTCAAACCAGAAAGGCGTCCAGCTAGGGTAGTTGTTCTGTCCGTATGCACATACGGACACAAAATGACCAATTCAGTTTTCCCGACATGTAATTATTCAAAGACTTAAATAGTTCTGCAGCTCTGGTGTTTGTTGCCCACGAAGGTGCACATAATATATTTTCATTTACATCCCCTGAAAAATATGCCACACAAAACAAGCATTGTTGCCTCGTTGTCAACATCAGCAGACTCATCAACCCGGATTGCATACCACAGTGACTCATTAATCCTGTCTAACAGTTGCCCTTGAATATCCTCTGCTATTTCATCAATTCACCGAGTTATGGTGCTAGCCAAAAGGGAAACACATGCCACCTTTGGAACAGCAGCCTCTCCTAAAATTCATGGCAAATATCTTTAGTAGCTGGCATGATCAACTCTTCACCAACCGTAAAGGGCTTCTTAGATTTAGCAATGCGGTTAGCCACTAAGAATGATGTTCTCAGTGCAGACACATTTGACGAAGTGGTGGCCTTCAATATTGCTTCTGTTCTTCATGTTCACATTAAAACAACAACAACAACAACAAACTCCAAAGGCTTGTCTTTTCATGCAGGGTGCTTGCTCTCCATGTGGCAAAGCAGTTTTGAAGTTTTCATAGCTTTGTTGGAAAGCCAGTCGACACGTATTACACAAAGCAGGCCTGGAGAATGTGAATCAGCTATTACAATGAACCTGTAATTTAAGTAGGCCTCTTGGTATTTTCTTTGAGATGTAGCTTTTTGTTGGTAGTCCTAGAGTCTTCTGCTATCTCATCATTGAATCTTCTCCCCTTTTCAAAGAAGCTCTCCAGTGATGTCTGTTTTTTAATCATTTTGGCTAGGGCTTGTGAGCTTACCAAACTGTGACTGAGATAAGTGTGCAGTGTGGGAAAGAGTCACGGATGGAAGTGGTAGATAACATAATGGGTGGACCGCGTGTAGACTAAAATAAGTGTCGGATTCTGACTTAAAGCCCGCCACCAGATGCAGCTGTACAATTAAAGTACATCAACTCACCTGCCACAGTAAAGCCTGCCACCAGATGCAGCTTAATTACCACTTGCCACTCACTGATAGGGTTTTGATATGAGTCTGCAAGCAATTGATTTATTATGGTCTCTTTGCTGTCAAACTTCTCTGCTAATGTTGATCTGTATTTGCAGCCACTCCCAAGCACTAGCATCACCGTCTTAGCTCCACCTGAGATCATCAGGCATTAGATTCTCATAAGGAGCATACAACCTAGAGCCCTCGCATGTGCAATTCACAATACGGTTAGTGCACCTAAGAGAATTTAATGTCATCGCTTATCTGACATGAGGTGGAGCTCAGGCAGTAATGTGAGCAATGGGGAGTGGCTATAAATACAGATGAGGCTTTATTGTTCACCTGCCACTCACCTCCTACTGTGCAGCCTGGTGTTTTGGCCCAGGGGTTGGGAATCCCTGACTTAACTTATGACTTAACATTTTATCTGCTTTATTCAAATACCTTGATCACTTTTGGAGAAATTATGTTATATCAGATTATTAGCACTGCTGTGTGGTGTCTCTGCCTTTGGTTTTGAGGCAGTGGTGATGTTATTCACATACAGTTTTACAAGAATTAGAGATGCTATTTGCTTATGTTGAACTGACATTGTTTCCTTGGTCTCATTTTTCAATCTTGGAAGGAAGGAATCAGTAAATGGGGTTGTTGCATCCCCATGTCTGGCTGTGAGCCTCACATAGTTCCATACAGTGAGTGTTGATTCTTCTCAAAGTTTCTAAGTGCCACGACTATAAGTAATTCATGACGGACATCTTTAAAAACATATCATCTATAATAATACTGAGTACTCTCAATAGTGTTCTTGTACAGTGCCTTGAACAGTCATAGTCTCCACTCATGTGCTCCATGGAGCTCTCTGTCATGATCACTGGAAAATCAGTTTCCATCTGAAAAGGTATTTTGACAAACACAGAAAACTCAAGCTTTTGAATATTAAAGGTTTAAAATCTTAAGGGAAAAAAATCATAAGCAGCTATAAAACTCCATCACTTGTTGGAGTGAACCTCAAACTGCTGGCCTAATTCTTAACGAAACAGTTTGGTGTGCTCAAAAATTTCACAAACTGTGTCAGAGCAGTTGTCAATAACACAAAGCCACCCAACTCATGGAAAGATGATGGCTTACTTGTTCTAACAGGCGACAGCAGAAGGAATTTGAAAGGAAAGTTGTTCATCCTACAAATGCGTGAATATGTAACGAGTCCTGTGGGGGAAAACAGAGGGGAAGTCTGAAACTCTGTCCTCGAAGAGCTCACAATCAAGGAAGAAGGAGACCTACAAACAAGTACGTACTAAAATTTATTAAGTAAACTCACAGATAAAGGGAGGATGGTAAAACAGCAGCAAACAGACACACACACGCACACCAAGAAATTAACTGTGTTTGTGTGTATTGGAGGAAGACCTTCAGGGAAGACTTTCAGTAGAACTTGTGCTTTACTTTGGATTTGAAGGGAAGACAAGAGTATAATATTAAATAAATAAGGCAAAAAGATTTAGATCAGAAGATACATTATGTGAAAAGGCTCAAAAACATGGAAAACCTTGGAATGTTATTGTTGATTGTATTTTCCAAAGACAGCCACCTGAATATTTCCTATCCCACAAGTTCTTATGATGTGGCATTGCCACTCTGCTTGTTGAGAGTTGGGGTCTGTGTCATCTCTCTTTGCAACTGGACAAGTCTGTAACTATGGAGAAAGGTATGTTACATGATTTTTGAGGCTAGGTCCTAACAGGCAACATGGCTTCTGTCTGGATCTCTTCGGACGCTCACATTTGAAACCAGCTGCCATGCTGTGAGAAAACCAGGCAGGCATGAGTAGGTGTAACTGCCAAAAGGTCTGCTGGAAGTACTAGAGCCGCCTGCCAGACCTGAGAGGGGGGAAGACTTTGAGGCGACTTCAGCTCCAGAAAATATCAGAGCTGATATATTCCGTGTAAGTACCAATAAGCTGAGTCCAGTCAAACACCAGAAACTAGGATTCAATTTCACAGAAATTAGGATTTAATTAATCCCCCCGGTAAATAATAAAATGATTGCTATTGCATTAAGTCACTAAACTCTGAGGTGATTCAATAGCTAACTGAACAGATATTTTTGACTCTTGTAGGAGTTTGACTTTTTATACCAAGGGTTTTATGCCATGGTTCCCTTTGGAGGAGTTTGACTTTTTATACCAAGGGTTTTATGCCATGGTTCCCTTTGGAAATCTGGTGACTCCTACGAACCCCTCCACAGAATAAGATTTTTAAATGAAAAAAAAAAAAAAACTACACAGAATTACAGAGGAAATGAATTATATTGCTATAGTATTATCAACATATCAAATTATTCTTGATATAAGAATATATGTATATCTTTACTAATGCATCAAATAGCATCTAGTAATAATTCTAATACCTAATAATTTCAAAGGAGTGTTAAGTGCAAATAATATATTCCAGTATCTGAGACAACTCTAATGTTATAGGTAAAGTATTTTTTTGATAAAGCTACTGGGCTTCCCTGCCTACATTTACAATTCACAAAAATGATAATTTCACTTAGACATGAGTGCAAATAAAATGTGTGTGTGTATATATATATATATATATGTATACACATATATTTTTCTTTTTCAAATCAAGGAGCCCTGAATTCTACCACATGTTGTAAGGAAAAGAATAGGAAGTAAGGCAGTGGAAGGTCCTTGCCCAAGGGCCAGAGAATAAGCAACATTCTTGCTTATTGCATTATGAGAGTCTGAATTCATGAAATTATTTCAGTTACATAGATTAAAAAAAATTGTGCCCTTCTCCTGAGTCTCAGTCTTCCTATTTGTAAATAATACTGTCACCTCTTGATACAAATAATATTACTCAGTAAATATTATGGCATATGGTTTGGGGGAACTAAAAATAAATTTCCCCATCTCAGTGCTTTATAATCTTTACAAGGTTTTTAGAAATGTGAGGAGGGACTGTTTTCTCTCCAATTTTATAATCTTACTAAATTCAGTCCAACAGCATACATTTTTTGTTGATTATTGTGTATCCTACATAAATAAAATCTAGGACACATGTCTTACTCATTTCTGAGGCCATTAGCAACTCATACACAAACACTTTTTTCTTTGCAAGTTACTTAAGGGTAAGATATATTGGGTTTGTGTGTTTTGCGTCAAAGCAATAAAAACAAATCAGATTGTCACATGGTCTTCCCTCCCAAGAATAAAAGTAGGTGTGGGGTTATTTACTGTTCCTGTGATTTATATTATTGAGGCCATTTTCAGTCTCAACAGTTTATTCTCATTTTGTGTGACCTTTATATAATTACTTTCATATTTGAGGATTATTTAGTGTTCATTTTTAATGGCAGTTGTAGTTTTTTTCTTTTTTTTTTTTACTGGACAGAAATATTGGGAACACAACAATCTCACAATATTACTTTGTATTCTAGATGTAAAATTTTAATCACCTCTGTGAAATTTTGTCAAGATTCCTAGTAAAATATCTCAATCTAATGAAGACTTTCTCATGACAAAATATCTCTATCCAAATTATATATTTTAATAAACTTGTGACTTGGAACCAAAACTCAAATCTTATTGAACATGAGCAAGGCAGGTACTCTTCTATTAAACAGAAATTAGGATTCAAGAATCCCCTGCTTCCAGTCTTACTTCTTCCATTTTTGCTTCATACTAGAAGTCAGCAGGTTTTTTTTCTTATAAACACCCAGATAGTAAATATTTTCATCTTTGCAGACTATGATTGATCTCTATCACAACCACTCAGCTGTGCCATCGAGGCATGAAAGCAGCCATCGATTATAAATGAGTATTGGGAATGGCTGCTTTCCAATAAAATTTTGTTTATAAAAACTGACCATAAACTAGAATGACTAGCAGGCCTAAGCTTGCTGCTCTACACAACCCCACAAGTGATCATCTGGAAACAACAATTTGCTCATGTTATTTCTAGCTTAATCTTTTAATAGTTCCCTATGGATACAGTGATCAAATACTGTATTACCGAAACTTCGACACTCTTGAGAATAAAAAAAAGGTGTGCTATTAATCATTATGCCAAGTTGACAAGTGTAAATTAGGGCAGTTCCTGGCAAACTGCAACATATGGTCACACTACCTACGGCCTGTGGGATAAGGTCCAAATACATTAGGCTAGAATTCAGACTTTACATTTTGGCATTGCTCTTTCTTTCCAGCCTTATGTCCCAATATATATTCCACCTTCCTGCTCATTTCTGCATCTTTCTACATACTATTCCTTCACTTCTTGGAACTTCCATTTTTTTCTTTCTCTGCCTAGTGATGTCCTACTTATCTAAGGCTCCAGATGCCATCTTTCCAATGAAGTACATCCTGTTACCCCAAACTCTGTCCTCCTTTAAAATGTAACATTTATTGCTATTTTAGGACTTAACACAGTACACTGTAATTATTTACTGCCCATACTGACCTTCATTTTCTTCTCCTCCTCTTCCTTTCTCTTTTTCTTGAAATAAAATGGAGTTGGAGTGAGAGTCAGGGCTACTGCTTTTTATTTTCCTCTAAATTCTTGGCCTAGAATCTAGCAAGCATGCACTGTCTAATGCACATAAACTTCTAAATAAACACTCTTTTGGTTGCATTTTATAGAAATCAACTAAAATTTGCTTCAAAATGGGGTTTATTATATTAGAGGTATTTTCTTATTTGTGAACCATGAATGGTCTGAGGTATGGGGACCAAGTTTAAAAGGCTTTGGAACTAAAAGGCTACTTTTCGCATCTCCGTCTCAGTGTACATATCATCCTGGCCTCTTTTGGGATAACTTCTATTCCCATGTCCTGTCATTAACTGTCTTTCCTTTGCCTTCCACACTAAAGATAACCAGGCTTACTTTTTTTATTTTATCATCTTCCAATCCAGCTACTTAAAAGAGGTTAACAAGAGTCCCTGAGATGCAACTCTAAATTTTCAAAAAAGAAATGCAACTTTCCAGTCTTGAGTCAATGCCTGCCCCCCTATAGTCAACTGTGACTGGATAGGGCAGTATTTTCTAGGAAAACATGGCTTCAGTGACTTACTCCTAAAGTGACTGGTCAGAGTCATACTGAGAAAAAAAAGGGGATATAAACTGAACTCACATTCGAAAAGATTTCTATCAGCAGATAGCTAAATTTTTAAATAATCAGAAATAAAATTAATATAAATGCTTTAATATAGGAAGAATCTTAATTCATGGGTGCAATTGCCATTCAAACACCAAATCAGTTCATCAACTCAAATAAACTCTCACCAATGAATGAAGACAACTTATTCTGAGTTATGAGTATATCAACATATATATTGCATAATTAAACATATATAATTAAATATATAAGCATTTAGAGCTTTATAAGTCATGCTTTTTTTCTTTCTTCCTTTAAAAATGCTACTTCAGGGAAAATGTCATTTTTCTAATAAGAAATTATGCCAAAACATGTTATAAACATGGAATTATTAACTGCTGAGGATCTCTATAGAAATGACTTTCTGTTATTCAAAATGACGGATTTAAAAAACTTACAAGTTTGTTTCCAAAATAATGAAACTGATATCTATGTGTGAACCATAAGCTAGTTTTTTTTTTTTTTAATTTTACTTTAAGTTCTGGGATACATGTGCTGAATGTGCAGATTTGTTACATAGGTATACATATGCTATGGTGGTTTGCTGCACCTATCAACCCATCATCTAGGTTTTAAGCCCCGCATGCATTATCTTATTTGTCCTAATGCTCTCCCTCTCCTTTCCCCCTACCCCGTGACAGGCCCTGGTGTGTGATGTTCCCTTTCCTGTGTCCATGTGTTCTTATTGTTCAACTCCCACTTATGAGTGAGAACATACAATTTTGGTTTTCTGTTCTTGTATTAGTTTGCCCAGGATGATGCTTTACAGCTTCGTCCATTACCCTGCAAAAGACATGATCTCATCCTTTTTTATGGACGCATAGTATTCCATGGTGTATATGTGCTACATTTTCTTTATCCAGTCTATCATTGATGGGCATTTGGGTTGGTTCCAAGTCTTTGCTATTGTAAATAGTGCTGCAATAAACATATGTGTGCATGTTTATTTGTAGTAGAATAATTTATAATCCTTTGGGTATATACCTAGTAATGAGATTGTTGGGTCAAATGTTATTTCTGGTTCTAGATCCTTGAGGAATCACCACACTGTCTTCCACAATGATTAAACGAATTTACACTCCCACCAACAGTGTAAAAGCATTGATGCAGAGAAATAAGCTGGTTTTATAGAAGGAACTGTTCTAAAGCTGAAGCAGTAGGGAATGTGTTAGAAATAGTTATTACTATACAGTTATTTCTATATCACTGGACATGTCAATTTCTGAAAGGCATTTGTAATTCTGGTTTTAGGTCAAATTTGATAATGATACTATAGACTAGATGTGTAAATGTATACAATACTTCGCAATTTTTATTTTCCTAAAAAAAGTGTAGATATTGGTAGAGTTGCTTCTGAATCTTTTACTTAAAAAAAGTTACCTTTAAAATCTATCCCATGGAACTGGAGGCCATTATCTGAAGTAAAACAATGGAGAAACAGAAAGTGAAATACTTCATGTCCTCATTTACAAGTGGGAGCTAAACAATGTGTACACATGGACACAAGAGTGGAATAATAGACACTGGAACTTCAAAAAGGTGGGGGGTGAGAAAGGAGTGAGGGATGAAAAATTATCGACTGGGAACAATGTACACTATTTGGGTTCTGGTTACACTAAAAGCCCAAACTTCATCATTATGCATTGTATCCTTGTTAACAAAAATGCACTTGTACCCCCTATACAAACTGTTTGTATTTAGGCTTACTTTTATATCACAAATAAATTTATTGCTAGTCATTCCAAATACATAAATAAACTTTTTAGTAGTGAATAAATTAATTGTTAAATTTAAAGTTATTGCTTAGCACTTATTTAGCTAAAATATGGACACTGTATTTTTTATAATTACTTAAGTCCTCTTTTTTAGAGAAAGCAGATCTGAGCTCGATAAGGAGCAAGATCTAAGTTGCAAGATGTGAGTGGTATTGTTACACAGACACCAGGCCACACCCACTGTATTAGGCAGCAGCTGTGTTCCCATTATCCATAGCCATCCATAGCATCAAAGGTCAAGGACCCTGTGGCTTATGTTGAGACATGTTTAAAAGATAGTTCATCCATTTTCATCCTCTGCTATATAAGCTCTGTAATGATTTGAGAGCTACATTTAAACTCCAAATGGAATGGTAAACAGCCTCACAGTAAAATAGGCAGTATCATCAACAAACTCTCTAGATTTCCTGCTATAATTTAGAGACACAGGTATCGTACTGAAAATAAAAATATCAAAAATGCTGTAAGGTAGATTTTTGGAGTACATACACTCACCAAAAGTGAATCATTCTAAAAGAATGCATCTATTTAGTCAGAGTACTTATCATTCAACAACATATCCATTCACCAAATGTATTTTGGCCTCTACCCTGTACCAGGTGCCATGTTAAATACTTATTAAAGGCATTATTGATTTTCCATCAACCTGAAATTCCCTAAGGGCCTCAATGCTCTAAGGATCCCCTTATATTTTGGATGGCTGTAGAATGCAGAATGCATGGGGCTAGGAGCAAGCAGACAGGCCTCTCCCATCCCCATTACTGAAGAATTAATAGTGTCTGAAATATAAAATGTGCTGCCCAAGAATGTAGGCAGAAAATGAGAGAAATTGTCAGTGGCACCTTGCTCCTTCTGTAAACTTGGATATTATCTCCATTGGCATAGTAATTAATAAAGCAACAATAAATAATACACTTATATTTATTTATCTAAATTCTATCAATTATTTAGTTATTAAATGAGTCAAATATTGATTTTACTTGATTTGGAATCCTAAATTACTGCCAAAAATTTCAGTGGTGTGATTCATGTTCCAAATTTCTCTTAGCCCTAGAAAAACCCAGTTAAGTAGCTTTGGCTAAAATAACCTGAATATCTACTTCTCAACTGGAGAAATAGCCAGTAGGAGTTATTTTCAATTCAATGCAATAGAAGTGCTACTGTAGTCCAAAGTCTGGTTTCAAATGCTACACACACACACACACACACACACACACACGCACACACTCTCACAAACCTCACACCTGCCATTTTAATAACCCAATAGAAACCCTTTTGTCCTAGAAAAGGTAATTCTCAAAGCAATAGAGTAGAAACAAAAGGGAGTTCTCTCTTTTTTTTTTAATTAAGGAGTTTATCCTCAACTGATGAATTTTAAAATGTGTCCTGCTTTAAATTAATTCCTGAAGTTATGCAACATCTTTTATTATTCAATTTTCTGTCAGTAGAAATGACTCTTTAAATACAGAAACTTCTAAAAGTTAGAAAAAAAGTCAAGATATTCAAGCACTATAAACTCTATACTAAATGAAGAAATGATAAACTGTAACAAAAGTCTACATAAATTAGCCTTGTTTGCTCATGCACTTTAGTATCCCTCTCTCCACTGACCCTCCCCTTCAAAGTACAAATATACAATCAATACACAAGCAAATATGTTTATATATGTGTGTGTGTGTGTGTGTATATACACACAGCAAATATTTATATATATACGTGTACGTATATATACACGTGTGTGTATATATATACATATATATATATACGTGTATATATCTACACACACACACACACACACACATACGAGAAAATATATATATACATATAGAAAGTAGCCAGGGTACCAAGTCTTTACTTAGAATACTAGCAATCAAAAGGGGAAGATATTAAGAAGCCATTCTTCATGACTATTTGAACTGACTTTCTAGGTCATCAAAGGAACTATTTGATGAGAAAACCTCCTTTACAAAAGTCTTCCAGCTAATACACATAAAAAAAAGATTTTGAAAAATCATTATTTTTCAAGCCATAATGAGACAATTGGTATAGACAATGATCATCAGTGGATTCTAGAACCATTAGGAAATATGGAAATATTAGTCTCTGTTCATTCCATTGAACAAACTTAGCATCATTTAAAATAGGATGACTAGATGCACTTCTTCGTATGCTGAAATAGTAATGACACAGCACCATCTATAAAATATTTTTGCTGAGCTGTTGAACCTGAATATTATCAAGTCATTAGGTCTAAATTCCAGTTTATGGGAAATACTAAGTATTTGAGGTACAGAGCAAAGACTTTGCTGACCCACTTTGAACTTGTGGAAGAGAAAATAAACTTAGTTTTGTTAAAAACACATTGGAGTTGGTTGTTACCCATAGCATAGCCAGCTTAGATTGACGAATACATTGCCAAGGTTCTAGAGTTTGGTACTAGTTTGGAAGAGAAATTAAAAGGTAGGTCTATGATCTCTCCAGGGTATGTTTTAACATAACATATTTTCTAGATGCAAAGCATTGTCTGTGTACATGCTAAGTCTGAATTACCAGTGGCATCTTTGCCAATTCTCTAGAATATTAATGATGTTGTAAATATTTTTATAGCTTTGTTTGCATTCTATATCCTTGTGGCTCTTTATTAAGGTACTGCCTAGAAAATTAATTAACATTATAATGGAAATCATTTGTTATACTTAATTTCCCATGCCTCTCCTTCATTATAAGTTTTTCTTCAAACATGTAAAAGTTTGGTTATTATTTTAAAAAAAGATATATAGTCTTATAAAGAATTAGTCTTTGGCACTAGTAATCAGAATAAGAGCCTACTTCACTGAGTCTCCATTTGATTTTTAGATCAACATATGTCTCATTTCATTTTAGTTCCTGTTAGTTAAGTAGCTTAAAACCCTGGTATTTTGTGAAAATTCCAGGGTTCTGAAACATTGTAAGTACATGAGTTCTTGTTCTCCGGAAATAAATGTGATCATAAATTTGAGCATTTGTTTTCTCCCATATAGATATAAACATACATGAAATATGTCAATGATAATTTATAATAAAATGTATATTTTAGGTAAAGTTGTATGGGCTTTCTTATTTTTGTCTCTTAAAATCTTGTTCATTTGTTTCCAGTAAGTGGAAGGTATATTTTTAAGTATTTAAATTTTATATCTAAAGACAGTATTCAATCTATTGCATGTATATGTTCGAAGATTACCCATGAAAATATATTTTTCCACACTTGCGTTTAATATATAATTCAGGCAGAATGTTGAACCAGTTTTCACCAACTTGGAAGTTGTTCTTTGCTGAAAAATGATTCCCACTTATTTGGAAATGTTGTTCCCTCAAGGAAACTAAGTTGTACATCCAAGACATCAACTTTCCCATAAAAAGAATTGGAAGGAACTTTTTTATTTCATGGTAATGGAAACCATAGCTAATTTATTCACTGAAATATGGAAATTTCTCTTGATTAACCAAATTTCAAACTTTTAGAGCATGATATGGTAACTGTTTATAATGAAATATCTTCTCTTCAAATATGTCCGAGATCTTTGAAGGTTCTCATGTGTACATTTATGATTTTAGAGGTAAATGCTTATGAAGTAGCAATGGCCCTGTGCTGCCAATAAAATTTTCACACCAAAATGCTTATCTTCTTTTATTTTTCTCTCCTTAAGGAATTCTGAACTAAATTAATACATTAAATATCGTTATTTAAGGCAATGAGCCATTATTAATAAAACTACCAAATATTATCTTATATAAAGGGTCCTTCCTTCCTGGAGGGCAATTTGGAAATACCTATGAAAAGCTGTAGAATTTAGTGTACCATATAACCCAGCTATTCCACTGTAGGAACTCATGCTAATAAAATAATTTAGAATGTGCCCCAAGATTTTATTAAAAGCATGTTCATTGCAGCATTAAATTTAAATGTTCAAGAAAAGAGTTAGATATGTTCAGGAATATCCATACACATTCTATACAGTCCTTTAAAATATAGCTAGGTTTTGTGAAAGCAAATTTCCTGTCAAGGAAAGATGCTCATAATATACTGTTTAATGTGAATTAAAGATTGAAAAACAGTAAAACAGTATGCTTCAATTTTTATGAATAGCAAATCTATTTGTTTATATCTGCATGCAAATATACATCTCCAAGAATATACACAAAAATATTAACAATTGCTTCCATTGTGGGGAGAGTTTATGTGATTTTTTCTTTTCTCATGTATATTTTGTATACCATTAACAGGTATTCCTTATTAAAATAAGCATAGAACAAAAACAGAGCCATTCTTGATTCAAGAAAATTAAACAAAAACAAAATATTTTTTGAATAAAATTATATGCTATATAACGTGCATTATTTGTAGTTCCAGTGTATGTGATTAGAAAACCATCCATTATCTCTTTTTGGGTGTTCTGCATTCTGGCATTCATATGTAACCAACTCCAATGTGTTACATATGAATATTTCAGTAGCAACACTGTGCTATTTTTCTGTTTCTGTTTGTGACTTGATATCGTCACATTCTGTTTAAACTTAGATAAGTTACCCAAGTTCTCTGAATCCCAGAAAACTCGCTTGGTTGCAAAATAGGCATAATAATAAGATCTACTTCATATATATATTATTTTATAGATTAAATGAGAAAATGAATGTAGTGTTTGCACATATCCTGGCTTATAGTCAATGTATAATTAAAAACTCTAATACAGCACAGAACATACTACATGTCTCCTCAATTTATGACCAAAAGGAAGTTTAAATAATTAGATTCTTATTCTACAGACCAGAAACACCTTTTAATCTGTCAGGTGGTCTCCATCATACCTTCCTTGCATCTTCAGATTTCAGGAAAGCCTTAGTCACATTTATTAAGATGGAGAATTGACATTTGTGTCATAATGAGATAAGAAAAGGAAAACACATACCCTGCATATCTTTGTCCATTCTGTGTTGCTATAACAGGATATCACGAAGTAGGTAATATATTAAAATAAAAGAAATATATTTCTCACACTTCTGAAGGCTGGGAAGTCCAATATCAAAGTACTGGCACCTGGTCAGGGCTTTCTTGCTAGTGGAAGGTTGGGAAGAGAGAGACAGAGAGCACTAAAGAGAGAACAAAAGAAGGCTGAATTCCCTTTATGACAAAACTCTGTCATGATTATAAACTCACTGCCTCAGTAACAACAGTAATCCACTCATGAGGGCAAAGGCCTCATGACCTAACTACCTTGTAAATTTCCTACCTCTCAATACTGTTGCATTTAGGATTGTTTCAAATATATAAAATTTTGGAGACGTATTTAAACCATAGCACTGCTGCATACATTATTTGAGCAATTTATCTTACTAACTTGGATCAAAATTTTAGAATGGTGTTTGTCATTGGTGAGGAGACCATTGTTCTATGGGAGTAGAATAGCTGAACATGGAGAGAAAATACAGAATGGGATTCCCAACATTTACCAAGCTCGTTAAGTAGCACAGATTGCATGCTATGCCCATAATGTATGTTATGACATTAAGTATGTCATAACATACTTAATCCCCAAAATTACCCTGGAAGTTAAATGTGTCAGTCTCAATTGTTAAAATAAGAGCAACAAGGCTGAAAAAAAAATTGCAAACATATCCAATGTCAAAAAGCTAAGGGGAAGAAAGGAATCAGAATTTGAACTGAATTCAAATTTACAGCTAGGTCTCTTCGAAACTTGCCAGACTAGGTTGGGCATGGTGGCTCACACCTATAATATCAGCACTCTAGGAGGCCGAAGCCGGGAGATCACCTGAGGTCAGCAGTTCAAAACCATCCTGGCCAATGTCTCTACTAAAAATACAAAAATTAGCCAGAAAACGGTAGAGGGTGCCTGGAATCCTAGCTACTCGGGAGGCTGAGGTAGGAGAAACACTTGAACTTGGAAGGTGGAGGCGGAGGTTGCAGTGAGCTGAGATCGCGCCCCTGCACTCCAGCCTGGGCAACAAGAGGGAAACTCTGTCTCAAATAAACGAACAAACAAACAAAATCAAACAACAACAACAACAACGACAAACTTGCCAGACCAACAAAAACCAAAGTGAGAGTAAACTTCATAGGACATTTCAATTGAATTCTAAAAGTATTATTTTATTATTTAAAGAGACATTTCTGTTTGTCACACCCAAAGCAATCTACAAATTCAATACAATCCCCATCAAAATACCAATGACATCCTTCAGAGAAATAGACAACCCACAGAATGGGAGAAAATATTTGCAAACTATCCATCTAACAAGAGATTAATAACAAGAATCTATAATGAGCCCAAATAACTCTACAGGAAAAAATCTAATAATCTGATTAAAAACTGGGCAGAGGATCTAAATAGATATTTTTCAAACTAAGACAAACAAAAGGCAGACAGATATATAAAAATGTGCTCAACACCATTGATCATCCGAGAAATGCAAATCAAAATCACGAGATACTATCTCGCCCCAGTTAAAATTGCTTATATCCAAAAGAAAGACACTAATGAATAGTGGTGAATATGTGGAGAAAGGGAAACTCTCATACACTGTTGGTAGGAGTACAAATTGCTACAACCACTGTGGAGAACAGTATAGAAGTTCTTCGGGGGCTGGGCGTGGTGGCTCACACCTATAATCCCAGCACTTTGGGAGGCCAAGGTGGGTGTATCACGAGTTCAGGAGATCGAGACCATCCTGGCTAACATGGTGAAACCCCGTCTCTACTAAAAATACAAAAAATTAGCCGGGCGTGGTGGTGGGCACCTGTAGTCCCAGCTACTCGGGAGGCTGAGGCAGGAGAATAACTTGAACCCGTGAGGCGGAGCTTGCAGTGAGTGGCGATGGCGCCACTGCACTCCAGCCTGGGCGACAGTGCGAGATTGTGTCTCAAAAAAAAAAAAAAAAAATAGAAAAAGAAAAAAGAAGTTCCTCAAAAAACTAAAATTAGAGTATCATATGATCCAGCAATCTCACTGCTAGACAGACCCAAAAGAAAGGAAATCAGTATATTGAAGAGATTTCTGCATTCATGTTTGTTGAAGCACTATTCACAACAGCCAAGATTTGGAAGCAACCTAAATGTCCATTGGCAGATTAATGGACAAAAAAACATGTACATATGCACAATGGAGTACTATTCAGCCATAAAAACTAGAACCACCATATGACCCAGCAACCCCACTTTTATCCAAAGTGGGACTTCAACAGATGTTTGAGTAGGGTCTTACACAGATATTTGTACACCAGTGTTCATAGCAATGGTATTTGCAATAGCCAAAAGATGGAAAAAATCAAAATGTCCATCAACAGATGAATAAACAAAATGTAGTAAAAAGATACAAATGGAATATTATTCAACCATAGAAAGGAATGGAATTTTGATATATGTTACAATGTGAATGGATTTTGAAAACATTATGCTTAGTGAAATAATCCAGACACAGAAAAACAAATATTGTTTTGCTTCACTTATTAGGTACCTAGAATAGGAAAATATGTAAAGACAGAAAGTAGAATACAGGTTACCAGCGGCTGGGGGCTGAATATAAGTTATTGTTTAATGAGTACAGAGTTTTTGTTGGGGATAATGAAAACATTTTGTATATACAAGATAGTAGTGGTTGTTACACAATATTATAATGTATTTAATGTCACTAAATTGTACATTTATGAATGGTTAAAATGATAAATGTTGTGTATGTGTTACCACAACAAAAAAGAAACTATCACCCAATCCAAGGTCACAAGTATTTATCTCTATGTGTTTTTTTTCTAAGAACATAGTTATAACTCCTACAAAAAAAATAATGAAATCCTGTCACTTACAGCAATATGAACGGGACTGAAGGACATTATGTTAAATGAAATAAGCCACGCACACAAAAACAAACTTCACATGTTCTCACTCATTTGTGGGAACTAAAACTTTAAAAACTCATGAAGATAGGGAGTAGAATGATGGTTACCAGAGGCCTGGTAAGGCAAGTGTGGGTGTGGGTGTGGAAAATGAGGATTGTTATTAGGTACAAAAATACAGTTAGCTACAATGAATACCATCTAGTATTTCATAGCACAACAGGGTGACTACAATCACCAATAATTTGTTGCACATTTTAGAACTGAGGAAGTACAATTGGAAAGTTCATAACACAAAGAAATGATGAATGCTTGAGGTGATGAATACCCTGTTCACCTTGATGTTATTGTTACACATTTCAAGCATGTATCAAAATATCTCATGTACTCCATAAATATATACATTATATTTATGTGTATAGACATAAATATATGTGCCCTACTAGTAAGTATCCATACTAATTAGAAATTTTAAAAAAGGAAAACTATGAAGAGACATTTCTCAGAACTTAGATGATTTAATCTCACAGGCACTTATTAAGGGCATATAATTGGTTTTACACAGTCATTTAGCTGGATCTACAAAATGCTTACCAAATTATGGTCACGGAAGAATGTCATAGTGTTCAAAGGCTATAATATATATGACTTCAGATTTGGAGATTATGGCTCTGATTCAGAAAGGATGGCCGAAAAATGTTTTAGTTACGTATTATAACACACACACACACACACACACACACACACACATTCACACAGAGGCATATATATCTCTGCCTACTTGCTTGTATATCTAAGTTTTGAAATCTGAGCTGCTCTGCTTCTTGACAATAAATTCAAAACATACACAGTACATTTTCAGTGGAATTTATACATGGTCTTCAGTTAACCCCAAGATCATAAACCTGCATGTTTTTGACAAATTAATATCCATGAAATCATTTGCCAATTATAGCTGGTTCAGTTTGTTAATTGAATTCTTAGATGCTTTGCAGATCAATTTTTTCCTTACCTAATTTCTCTAATGCTAAAATTGTTAGATACTTTCTGTTAAATATCCAGTAATTTCACCATAAATTCAGTTTATAGACTTTTAGTCCAAAGATTCAAAACGTATTGATACATGTCTCTAAAATGCTTTGGTAATTAATAAATTAACTTAATCAAAATATAAATATTCCCTCAAATCAGTATCTAATTATTATAGATTCATGAATTTTTATAAAGCAGCAAAGGAAAGACTTCCATTTTTCCAGTTTCTGAGGGATGTTCCAGCGTTAAGTTTTCTTAGCAGATTATCGGGAGTCTACACTGTGGCCAAATCTGTTAGAAATGCAACATGATCCATTTTACAGAGATATTGACACTGATCATTATTTATTTTTCTGAATAGAGAAGAAATAAATTTACAAAATATTATGAAAGAATTTGATTATGGGATTTTGTTAGAAAGTTTTTTATGCTTGGCTTTGATCCAGTCACTTTCTGCATCCCAGCATTTCAGTATTTCCTAAGAACAGAAATAGATCAAAATGCCTTACACTCCTTAGCTTTCTGATATTCAAGCTCTCCACCCAACAACCAAATATGTGTGCATATGTTAACTCCATCACAGTTTCTGCCAATGGATATTTCTTGAAACTCTATCCCTTCTCTTCACCTATCGACAGTCCACCCATAATTCAAGGCCTGGAACCACTTTAATTTCACCATGTTCTTTTATGGAGATAAGATCTGGTCCCGTTTTGACATTTAGACTTCTGGTACATATTATACTCTGCCTTGTATATAGTTATTTATTTTCTTATCTGAGCCATCTTTTTGTAAGCTCCATGAATGTAGCTATCTTTTCATCTTAGCCCCTCTAACTCATATCTCTCTTTTTTGTAAAGTATAATGTTAATAAATGTTTATTAATTGGCTTGATAGCTAATTTCTAATATTCTTTGTACGGAATGTATTTATTGGTCACTCTTGTTACCCTGAGGTGAATTAGCAGAGTTTTTGGCTGAAATAATTGTTCAAGGAAAAAAAAATGTACTGAAAACTTGACAGAAATGCTAGAAATGTTTTTAAACTATAAGCAATAAAATTTAACATTTAAAATAGTTATATCTTAGAATTATTTATGTTAGATACCTGGTCAAATTTGATTTCTAAAGGATTCCAGAATTTTAAATGACCTTTGTTATTATCATGATTTCCATATATTTTAAATATAATATGTTAAAAAATCCCCCTCACTAAATTTTTATCTAAACTAATTAAAATACCAAAAAAAACCCCAAAATTACATTTAGTTGATAATCACAGAAACATTATAGTAACAGTGAGTACTAAACATCCTATCGCTTTTGCAGATACAAAAATGCCCCCAAAATGTACCTGGAAAAATTGTCTGTAGCAGCCCCAGGGCTTCTGAATTCCAGGGACATCATCTTCTGTGCCTGCTGAAGCAGATACTTGAGTCTTCTGTTTTAAAAGGTATTTAGAAATACAGATACACAAAGCTTTGCATTATTCTTTGTCTGAACCCAAGTCTCTAAAAAATATGTTTTTATAAATATTTTATTCTTTTTCTCTGTTTTGTGAAAGTGAAATTCATTTGGCCACTGGATACTTTCTACAGCCTACTTTGTTAAAATTACACTAAATTGCCTTTATAACTTAAAAATGATTTTAAGTATTATTATCTGCTAATAATTAGGTCCAAAGAGTTCTTGAGGCTTTGAAGTTATCCTGGCATCTGAGCCCAACCCTGCAATCTGGGGGCTGTCTCTGAAATTTCAGTCACATTTCCCTTAGTGCTTTTGAACCCGCAAACTGTTCTCTTGGCTCCTCTGACCTGACTAAAATGAAGAAAGGCATAAAATCTCCTGAGAAGTTGTGTCCTAACAAGATTTCAGACCCAATTCCAGCCACCAAGGGGTTTTAGATAAGGCTTATATACACAGTTCATCTTTTGGATTCTTTCATCCAACTCCAACCTTGGAACCCTTTATGTTTCCTTCACCTCTATTCACTTCACACGATTGGGTCCATCACTAATCATAATATAGGATTTTGCTTAGAAGTTTGATCAGCTTTAAAGTTCGCTCCAGCTCAGCATAGACCATACCCTTAGCTCTATAGGATGGCAGGATAAAGGGATTCTTTGCCCTGCACACTGTAGGAATTAATTGAACCAACTATAAATAACCTAAATAACCATTCTAAGCAGAAAGGAAACACACATGGCATTACCTTGAAATATATCATTTCCAGATCGCCTTGAGCTCTTTATGAGGGGAAAAAATCACATCTTCTCACTGATAAATCTTACTTGTAATTAGCATGAGTGTACTTCAAATTCAGTGGATATTTTTGAAATATTTTACAAATCTTAAATAACTTGAGAATGTAACAAATGATAGAAATTTGGGTCTGTACAATTAGAATATTTTTTTTTTTAGATTTTATTTTAAAGCACTGGAATTTAAAGACAGTTACTGTCTGGGACTCTAAATTATGGTATTTTGTTCTTTCATATGTAGATAAGAGTAAAATCATATGTGTGTACATGCAAATATATATAATATATGCTATATATGTATATATTAATACAGCTAACCAAGAAAAATAATATAGTGACAGAAGAAAAATATATTATTGTTAAATATCAAAGGTATTATCAATAGCATATTTAACAAGGTATGCGCATCTACTTACAATCTACGAGGTGCTGTGCTTGGCACTGTCAAGGAGACGTATTAAAGCATGCCACCTCACTTCACTGATATCACAGAAGTGAGATAGATACATCTAATTCCAAAGAGGAATTCTTAAGGGCATAACAAAGGAAAAGCAAATATCTAAAGTACTAGGAGAGTTTTGAGAAAGATAAACCTTAATTAAGTACCCAGAAAGTTAAAAGGAAATATTTAGTAATGAAAATTTCTAACACTCTGAAATATGTATGTTTATAACAAAAGAGAAATTTGCAATGACTATTCAGTGTTCAGATCACTAAATGCATTTTAAATTTTGTCTCATCGATGTTTCCTCTCTACCTGTTATTTTCATGAGGAATACTTGAAATGCATTTAGATGATGAGAAAGAATACTCAGTATCCTTAGAAGAGTGGTGTGGATTCAGAACAAAACTAAAGCAAGGATATGTGTTGCACACATAATTATTTAAAAATATCTTTTAAAAACAGGAAAATCAATTACAGACTTTGGTAAGCATAGGGGATGGTTTCCCTGGAATTCAAAAACCCTGAGAAAAATCAAGAAATCTTAATTGAAACATGAGTCAAAGAAAGCAAGTCATGAAGTCTAAATTAATGGCTCTGCCCATTAATTGAATCATCATGTCATCAGATCAAATGTTATCCCAATGATAGTGGGGATTTAGTGACCCAATCTACCACTGTAGGAAGAAAATTTAAAATGTATAGGAAGTACCAAAATGTTTAAATCAAAAATTTACTTCATCCTTCTATAAAGAATGACTTTGCTTATCCAAAATGACTAAAAAATATTATCCCATGTTTGGCATTTGCATGGGATGACAGAAGAAGGAACACTTCTGCTAACGATAGAAAAAGCAATATACAGCTATTACTGCTGATAAATAGCCAAAGTACATGAATCACAACCGAAGTTCTCTTAACTGACTGACCTACATTTTAACTGACTGGCCAGATTAATCACAACCAGCCTTGATCCCTCTGTAAAACATACTGATTGAAGACCACAGCTTGTTGACCAGCCATCGCTAACTGGCTACCCCATGGCATACCATGCCATACCGCTCCCGTTGAGTTGCATGTGCATGCCCAGGAAGAATATATTTTGCTTGTTCCCAAAACTGTTTATGCAGTTTTACCTTTATCATTATAATTTTAAAATTTCATTAAATATTTCATAAGCTTATAAAATAGGTCTACAAAAAGAAAAAAAGTGCTGTTTCTATGAAATATAAGTTGAGGCTGGGTGCGGTGGCTTACGCCTGTAATCCCAGCACTTTAGGAGGCCGAGGCGGGCAGATCACCTGAGGTCGGGAGTTCGAGATCAGTTTGACCAACGTGGAGAAACCCCATCTCTACTAAAAATACAAAATTAGCCAGGCGTAGTGATGTATGCCTGTAATCCCAGCTACTCGGGAGGCTGAGCCAGGAGAATTGCTTGAACCCGGGAGGCGGAGGTTGTGGTGGGCAGAGAACGCACCATTGTACCCAGCCTGGGCAACAAGAGTGAAACTCCATCTCAAAAAAAAAAAAAAAAAAAGAAAAAAGAAATGTAAGCTGCTTTGGAAATATTCAATAAAGGAGAGTGAGCAAAATTTTTTGTTGAAGACCAGTTGTGCCTGAGATTGGTAAAGATGGGAATAATCATACGGATAGAAAAGGAATCTGATCTCAGATTGTATCGCAAATGGCTCTAAATTCATGCTTCACAAACATACACACTCACAAAAAGAAAAGAAGGAAGAAAAAGTGAAAGAAAAGTTGAATCCAAACTAGAAACTATAGATACATCCTGAGGTCTGGCTTATAAATTGGAGAAAACTCAGAACTCCATTAGGCAGACCTTTGTGTTACAATAAAAATAGTAGATTCAAAGCTAACAGAAAATGTTTAAGGTATGAATTTTATAAGTTTTAAAAATTCCTTGCTTTATTTGATAAAGAAAAAAAAAAACATTAACCAACCACTCGTCCCAATTAAACTGGATTTTAAGCAGTAATAGGGTCCCTAAGCACATGCTGGCCATCATAAGCACAGACCTGTCACTGATACACAAAGCTACTTGGTATCTGCAGAAGATTCCCGAAAGAACTAGCTCATCCTATTTCCTTAGATACATACATTAAAATTGAGAATCAAACTTTTTGGAAGAAGTTATTGAATTTTGACCACAGAATATACTGCATTCTTCATGGTTTACTGTATTTAATCACATACAAGCAAGTATTTAGAATGTGCATTTCAGAATATGGATGTGGTCATTTTGAAAAAAAAAAAGCATTTTATTTAGTAAAGAACTCATTCAACTCATTCCAAGTATTGCCATTTATAAATGCCTGAGCTGGAGTGAGGGACCATATTTGTGAAACTGCAAGATGTGTCCTCAAATCAGTTCTCCCTTTCTTCAGCTGTGCATCTACGATGCATTTCTTGAACTTCCTTACACTAGAAGTAGCTATATGACTCAGTTTTCTCCAGTGGAATAAGAGTTGGAAGGTCCCTGGCTCTTGAAAATCTTCGTACCGTGACCCTTCGTGTCCATCTTCCTGACATCAACTAAAAGCAGATGAAATTGTGCCCCTTGGATTTCCCAGCATGAATACCTATGCTGGACTATTTCTTGAGAAAGAAAGAAACTTTCATGTCTTGTTGAGTCATGAAATTCTGGATTTATTTTTTTAAACAGCTAGCACAACTCTGATTAAGGCCCCTTCTGATTATCTAGACAAAATTGAGCTTTTCCCAACATAGATTTGTGTTCTTTATAAAACTGTGTCTTAATGAAGAGTATTTCTGTGTAGGAGAGCTTTATGTTACAGAGGCACAAGAAGGCTGCATGGTGATTGCACACATAGCAGTTTTCTAGAAAGATTCAAAAGATTAATTAGTGTAGTCCTATTCTTAGGCACAAACACACTACTATAAGAAAAATGATGGAAACAAAATTTAGGATCAAGAGAAACTGGTAGATCAAAGAACATGATATCCACTTCTCACGCTATTGGTAATGTTTGATCATTTGGTTTAAGTATGGTTCACAGACTTTTTCCATTTTAAAGATATGTTATTCCTTTTATAGTCAAAAATTAAAATGTATGTGTCTGGAGAGTACCTTAAGACTATGTAAATATCCTGTACCCCAATAGTCTTTTGCCCCATGGTTTTAGTGTTTTAATTTTAATGATTTTTGCCTGAATTAAATTATTACTATTGTGGATATGAAATGCTGAGCTTTCTATTTGTTTTATTTTTTTATATGAAGTACCAGTTGGCATTCTTATACTAATTAGAGCTTTCCCTTCTTCATGCTTATTTACAAATTTAAGATCCATATTGACTCATGGATTCTCTACAAAATTATAATGTATTTTCCATTATTCATTTTAATGAACAAATTGTTCTAAATGTGGCCAGTTGGAGCACCTTCAGGTGGGTTTGTGTGTTGGTTTGAAACGTGCCCATCAATTTCAATCATTTTCTTAATTTATGGAATAAGATGATCCAGGATCAACTTGCACTTTACCAACTCAGCCAAGGAATTAAACATTTATCTAAAGACTAATGATTTCTCTCAGTGGCAAGTGGTATTTAGAAACCACTTGGCAATAATTGTGCTAATTGCCACTAGGAATAATTGATTTGAAGATGCATCCTTAGACCAAACCAAGGAAAACAACAGATGGATGATAGCTATGTTAAATCATGGTTTCATGCTAATTCCAGGATTTTATCTCCTTCTTTTCTCATGTCATATATCTATTTCTCTGTTTCCAAAATGACAATGCTAATATTTATAATATATATAAAATATTTTGGAAGAACTATATCAATATCAACACCAAATCTACTAAATAATGTTCATTTCTTTTTATCCTTAGATTGTAATCCCATTGCAAGTGTACAGAAGAATACTGTGTTTAAAATTTACTTAGATTATATCTTTTGTTCTATATTCAATCAAAAATTTAATACAATTTCATTTATTATTTTACATAAATATCTGTGAGGTTAATTTGTAGTTTTTTTCTCCCTACATTTACTAAGACTTAATATCAATAATATGATTGTATCATAAAAAGAGAACTAGAAAGTTATCTGTCATTTTCTATACTTTAAAAATTTTGTGTGTTTGGGATGGTATGGTATTTGAAGGTTTTATGGAATTCCCTTATGAAACCATCTGGGCCTGTTGCTTTGTATGAGGACGTTCTTTGAACACATTTTCAATTCCTTTTCTTTTATGTAAAAATGTCTCTTTAAGCAAAATATTTTTTCAAACACATTGAAATACGGTACACATTTCACAAACTGCCTGATCTTATTTTTTAAAAAGTGTCAGAACACCTTGACGTGCAGAAGCCACAAATACACAAATGCACTCCTGGTAAGGACACATGCACTGTCTATGTCATACTCTTGAATATGTTTAATTGTCATTCTGAACTATAAAATAGAGTACATATACAAATTTAATGGAATTCACAGAAGTATAACTCCAAGGGCTAACAGTGAAATACCAGGGCCATGTAGCCTGCTTGTTGGTAAAAACATATTGATACTCCAGCTTCTCATGCCTCTTTAGGAAGCATGAAAATTCAAATGTGATATTTCTAAACATCTTTGAAGGCCATACAAGAATGTTTATACATACTGAAAGTAAAAATGCATAATTATTTGATATGGCATTTTTCAAAAGGTTTAGAGTTGCAGTGTACCTCTACCAGTTTTTTTTCTCCCAGAAAATTACTGATGGTTATTACCCTTATTAAATCCTCAAAGTAAATCCTAAAAGAAGGAGGAAAAGTGAGACTTAACCCTTGTCAGAATACAGGGATAAAATGTGAAGAGAAAAGAATAGATAGGAAGCAATACAATTCTGACTTCCCAAAGGTATTTGTAGAGTGAACCGTACACAATACCAAACAATACTGAAATATCCTAGCAACTGGATTGATTCAAAGAATTGATTTTTCTCTTTTAAAGGGGAGACAGAGGGAGTGAACTCAAATGCTTGTATTATGGTGTTAATTTATATATGAATATATAACGTTTAATCTGATTTACCACTCTCACTGAAACAGGGGTAACTCCCTGGTAAGTAAAATGATGCTATTGCCTTTTAATAGGTTGATATATAAGAAAAGACAATCTCTCTCTCTCTCTCTCTACACACACACACACACACACACACACACACACACACACACACACACACCTCTTTTTGTTGAGCTTTGCTTTATTGCATTTTATAGATATTGCATATTGCAATGTTTACATTTTGGAATTTTGTGGCAACCTTGCATTGAACAATTCGATCGGTGGTGTTTTTCCAACAGCATGTCTTTGTGTCACATTTTTGTAATTCTCACAATATTTGAAATGCTTTCATTATTATTATATCTGTTATGGTGCTCGTGATCAGTGATATTTAATGTTACTGTTGTTATTGTTTTGGGGCACTGTGAACACACCATATAAGATAGTAAACTTAATTGATAAATGTTGTATGTGTCTGACAGTTTCAATGATGGGCTGTTCTCTCATCTGTCCTCCTCTTCTCAGGCATCCCTATTTCCTGAGACACAACAATATTGAAATTAGATCAACGAATGACCTTACAATAGCTTCTAAGTGTTCCAGTTAAAGGAAGAGTCACCCTACATTCAATTTAAATCAAAGCTAGAAATGATAAAGTTTAAAGAGGATGGCATATCAAAAGCCAGCCCAGATAGGCCAAAAGCTAGACCTCTTGTGCCAAATATTTAACAAAGTTGTGAAGGCAGAGGAAAAGTTTTTGAAGGGAATTAAAAGTGCTCCTCCGGTGACCATGAATGCTAATAAAATGAAACAGCCTGACTGCTGATACGGAGAAAGTTTCAGAGGTCTGAATATATCAAAACAGCCAAACATTCCTTTAAGTATAGCCTAACCCATACCTAGGCTCTAACTATCTTTAATTCTATGAAGGCTGAGAGAGGTGAGGAACCTGCAGAAGAAAAGTTTAAAGCTAGCAGAGTTTGGTCTAGGGGGTTTGAGAAAATAAGCTGTCTTTAAAACATAAAAGTACAAGTTGAAATAGCAAGCGCTCAAGTAGAAACTGCAGCAAGTTACCCGGAAGATCTAGTTAAGATCATTAATGAAGGTAGCTACATCAAACAACAGATTTTCAATGTAGATGAAACAGCTTTATGTTGGAAGAAGATGCCATCTAGGACTTTCACAGCTAGAGAGAAGTCAATGCCTGGCTTTAAAGGTTCAAAGGACAGACTGACTCTCTTGTAACAGGGCTAATGCAGCTGGTGTCTCTATGTTGATGCTAATGCCCATTTACCATTCTAAAAATCTCAGAACCAATAAGAATGATGCTAAATCTACTCCACTTGTGCTCTATAAATGGAACAACAAAGGCTGGATAGCAGCACATCTGTTTACAGCACAGTTTTTAAGCCCAATGTTGAGACCTACTGCTAAGGAAAAAAATAATTTATTTAAAAACGTTACTGCTGATTGAAAATGCTCCTATTCACCCAGCAGCTCTGCTGTACAAGTAGATTAATGTTGTTTTCAGACCTGCTAACACATCATCCATTCTGCAACCCATAGATGAAGGAATACTTTTGATTTTCAAGTCTTGTTAATTAAGAAATACATTTTGTAAGACTACAGCTGACATAGATAATGATTTATCTGGTGGATGTAAGCAAAATAATTTTAGAACCTTTTGAAAAGGATTCACCATTCTAGATGCCATTGAGAACAATTGTGATTCATAGGAAGAGGTCAAACTATCAACATTAATTAGTTTGTAAGATGATTTCAAACCTTCTGGATGACTTTGAGGGGTTCAAGACTTCAGTGGCATGGTTAATGGGGTACAAAAAATAGTTAGAAAGAATGACTAAGACCTACAGTTGCAACAGGGTAACTGGAATCAATGATAATTTAGTTGTATCTTTTAAAATAAGTAAGAGTATAATTAGATTGTTTGTAAGACAAAGGATAAAAGCTTTTCTCCATGATGTGATTACTATGCATTACATGCCTGTATCAAAACATCTCATGTACTTCATAAATATATATATATATACCTAAAATGTACTCACCAAATTTTAAAATTAAAAAATATATATTTAATAAAATACCAGTGGCAGAAGTAACTGCAAAAATGACTGAAGTACCAAGAGAACTAGAACTGGAAGTGGAGCCTGAAGATTGGACTGAATTGCTGCAATGTCAGAATCAAATTTCATCCAATGAGGAGTTACTTCTGAGGGATGATCAAAGAAAGTGGTTTCTTTCTGTTTTTGTTTTTGTATTTCAACCAGGTATTTTATTGGGCTGGCAATTGCAAGTTATACAAATTTCTGAAAATCACCTCCTATTTGAAAGCTACCATAGCTTCTTTCCAGGCAATTAATTCAGACAAGATACACAGAACCCAGAGAAGTCGTAGGTCACACATAGAAGGCTCCCAAACCAATTAATGACTAAACCCAATCTACACAGCTTTCTGTTTTTTAGGCTTCCTTATACATAGCAAATAAATAAATAGCACATCTGCTGGCAAAATATTTTTTTTTCAAATTTCAAGTGTTATAAAAGAAAATATTATTTTGTGTGGTTCCAACAGTTTTTCTTCTCTCCCGAAATAAAGAGCTTTGCCCATGATCTCAGGATAGAATAAGAAGAGGGGGAAATCTACCCACAAACAAATATGCAAAGTTAAAAATATTGGTCCCTGTTATAATTCTGGGGGAGTGGCAAGTTGGTGAGAATCAGTAGACACAAAAGCTCATGACTGTAGCTCAGAGCCACCACCACCCATTCCCCCTCAAAAGGCAGGTCACTGGTTTGCAGGTTAGGCACCATTCTCCTTTTCCTAAGGTCTCCCCTCCCTGTTTAGGTTTATGTTATCTCTCTCTCTCTCGGTCTAGATCCTTCCCAAACTAAAGTCCTATGCTAGGCAAAGCCTTCTTTATGTCTTGATTTTAGGTAGCAGATGGGAGTGCGGAACACACTTTCATCAAGCCCCTACCTGTATCGGACTTAAAAGTCGATGTTCAAAGGATGAAGCCAGCCAGTGAGACATGATAAACCACGCTCAAGAGGAAAGCTGCAGGCCCCTCATGTCAAAAAATACAAGCAAGCTAAGCACATTTGTGCGCACGTGCACACGCCCACCCCCTATCCACTCAGTCTGATGAGACTCATCTTGGGAGTGAGAGAAAAGAGCCCAAGTCTGAAGTTGTACAGGAGTGTATATATAGACATCCTCTCCAGCAGGCACCAATTAAAGGGGGTGGAATAGGCGGGGAGGATTTGAATGTTTTGGTGGGAAAACCCCAAACTTGATTGTACCATATCTGATGAAGTGTAGCCTCATTTCCTACTTAATTTCAACCAGGAAAAACATGCATTCTTAAAAAGCTCTTCTAGACAAAATAAAAAGAGAAATAGCTCTTCTCTCCACTCCCAGTTTCACGTGTCTAAGTCCCCTACCCTTATCCCAGAATATCCCCTTGAGCTGGGAGAAGATTCTCAGGGCTCACATATAGAAGGCAGGAAAAAAAAAAAAGTACCATCTTTGAGGCATCCTGAAAAGGGTCATGTGAACAAACTCTATTGCTGAGTTTTCAAATGGTTTCTTCTGAGCACAAGAAAACCCTTCCTACCCCAGGGATTGAGGCAACAAGGAAAAACTAACAGGCAGAAACTACACGTTCCATATGCTCTGCTTTCCACTGCTGCTAAAATATTACACGTGCTACACATGCCTTGAAAGCAAGGCAAGGACAAATCCCACCCTTCTGATTTCCCCAAGTCCAGCACAGCACTAGGCATAGGGCAGATTGCTCCTGTTTCCCAGGTGGGGGCAGTGGCCTGAGCAGGGCCTTATTCCTGGCCACTTTCTCCAAGAGCTGTCTGCACATTTTCAAGAAAAGTGGTTTCTTGAGATAGAATCTACTCCTGGCAAAGATGCTGTGCCTATTGTCCAAATGACAATAAAGGATTTAGAATATTACATGAACTTAGTTGATAAAGTAGCCACAGAGTTTAAGAAGATTGAGTCTAATTTTGCAAGAAGTTCTACTGTGGGTAAAATTCTATCAAACAGCATTGCATTCTACAGAGAAATTTTTGTGAAAGTAAGACTCAACCCAGTGACAAATTTCATTGTTGTCTTATTTCCAGAAATTGCCACAGCCACTCCAACCTTCAGGACCTACCACCCTGGTCAGTCAGCAGCCATCAACATGGAGGCAAAACTCTCCACCAGCAACAAGATTAACACTTGCTAAAAGCTTATGACCATTTTATCAATAAAGTCTTTGTAACTGAGGTAGATACTTTGTTTCTGAGACACAATGCCATCGCACACTTAAAAACTACAGTATAGGCCAGGAGCAGTGGCTCACGCCTGTGCTCCCTGCGCTTTGGGAGGCCAAGGCGGGTGAATCACCTGAGGTCAGGAGTTCGAGACCAGCCTGACCAACATGGTGAAACCCCATCTCTACTAAAAATACAAAAATTAGTTGGGCATGGTGCCATGCGCCTGTAATCCCAGCTACTCGGGAGGCTGAGGTGGGAGAATTGCTTGAATTTGGGAGGCGGAGGTTGCAGTGAGCCGAGATCTCACCACTGCACTCCAGCCTGGGTGACAGAGCGAGACTCCATCTCAAAACAAACAAACAGACAAACAAACAAACAAACAAACCTACATATAGTGTAAGTATAGTGTAAACAGGACTTTTATATACACTGGGAAACCGAAAAAATTCTATGACTTGCTTTATTTTGATATTCCCTTTATTGTGGTTGTCTGGAACTGAACCTCCAATATGTCTGAGTATGTTTCCCTCTCTCTCTCTCTCTCTCTGTGTGTGTGTGTGTATGTGTGTGTATTTACAATAAATTCACATGTATGTATTCTGTTTAATTTCTATATGTACGTGTGTATATTTTTATGTGTTTATGTGTTCTATACATATACATTATTCACACACAGAAAAAGAAAAGATAAAGTGTAAAAAACACTAATACTTGATCTCAAAGAGCTTACAATCTGTCAAACATGTTAATAGCTTATAATTATACAAGGCAGAAAAAAATACAGACTAAATAGAGTTACATATATTGTATGGCAATCCTGGTTAACGGAGTGATTTATTTTAGTGTATGGAGTTATATATGTGTGTGCACTGTCAGGAGGGAGAGGGCTTGTTTTCAGTCCAGCAAATATAGAGATATGCAAGTATATCAGTTACTTCTACCCTACTAGCTTAGTTATTCTTTCAGATTAAAACAGTCTTCTATCAGATAGTTCAACATCTTTGGCTGAAACTATAGCCATTGACAGAGACTGAGATGTAGAATGTCTTTCTTTTTTGTCAGCTAAAATAGCTAGCCCTTGTAGTGCTGAGTAACTTTTTCCTGTAGCTGGACACGTAGGAGCAGATCATCTTCAGATGGAGTCTCTCGCTAAACATGCTTCAGTGAGGAAAGTTACTAAGAGGATGCTGTCAGCATTTTTCCTTTAAGAAACTCACCAAATGCAAGGAACATAATGGGGCAATCATTATTCAAGAGAGTGTCAAAATCATTTAGAAATCAAAACAGGCTATTGGAGTTCATAGGTTCTTTAATGTGCACAGCTACTATCTTTCCTTTAGTTTAATAAGAAGTTGCATATCCTCACATTTAAAGATAATTGCAGAGTATAAAAACTGCATTGTGATTATAGAAACAGTGAAAGAAGCTTGGTGACAAGACAAAGATTTCATCAGCTGAACACCTTGAAACTGTGTAGCCTTTAAAATACAACTCTTCCTCTCTACAGCTTGTTCCTTGTATCCTGAGTTTCATTCTTTATTCTCAGTGAAAACACATTATTCAATGTCTTCACTGATTGGCAACAGAGCTGCAATTTTTCTCAAAAATTTTAAAATTCTTAAATCTCAATGTGGCTTCTCTAAGTCGCTTAAAAGCGTAACTTGTTTTAAAATTAGAATGTATCCACCTTATTTTTTTGTTGTTTCTTTGGAAACCCTGTCAAAAAGATCTTGCAAACTATCATGTTCTAAAATAATTCCAATGTCGTGCACTTGAAGTTTCTGTATTTACTTGAGTAGATAAAGGTGAAATTATATCCACTGAAATATGAAACATAGGTATTGTTGTTACTTAATCAGACACACAACTTCAGTTTAAGGGCACTGCATCAGAAAAAGCAAGGATTTTTTTTCACATTGAATAGTCACTACAGTTGAATAAATACTCTGTTGGATGTTTCTCCTTAGTACTTTATATAAAGATTTGTAGAATCTACGTACCTGAGTAAAAGAATAGGAAGGAAGATAACATAAATTGTGAAGAAGCCAGTTTCACTTCTATTTAAATTGAAAACTAAAGAGACCAACACCTGTGATAAATTTATATCAGCTCAAAAGAAAAAGTACATGTAGACATAATGCCACAAGCCAAAAAAAGCATACTTTCCTTCTTGAATGAAAAATCACTACTCAATAAAATACTAGTTAAGCAAAAAAGTCCATGTTTTAACTACTTAAGTTGCTTTCATTATTTATTAACAAGGACTGATAAGCTTTATTTGCTGGAGAAGCATTCAAGATCTGTCTGTCAAAACTAAATACATTAGAACCAAAAATAAATAAATGAAAGAAACAAAACAGAACTCAAAAAGTGGTAAATGAAAAATAAATTAAAAACCTCCGAAGAAGGTTCATTTGGAAAAAATATTACATGGTAAATAAACAAACATTTAGATGATCTTCTAAAAAATTGTCAATCCCAAAATGAAGAAGTGCTCTTGCCCTATCCAACTTGTTGGTCAGTGGTAATACTTCAAACTATTCAAATGAGTTTGTGGAAGTGCATATAAATTAGACCTTGATTTGAGTGTAACTTATTCATTTTCTAAATAATATGCAAATTTGCATAAACCTAGATTTTAAAATGAGATTTACAGGTGGTAAACTCTGCAATCTGACAATTTACATGTTAATGTGCTAATTCAATTCAACAAACATTTATTGAACTTCTAGCAAAGCACTGGGCTGGGTATTACGGGTGCATTACCTATGCCATTTAGGGAGTATACAACTAGGAGGTGAGATAGGCAGAACAAAGTGCAGTTTTGCTCCTGACATTATTACTATATGAACGGTTAATGCAAAATGAAATAACATAAGGAACAACTAACACTTTGTAGGTGTTATTTTCTTTATATAACAGACATTTAACATGGATGTTACTGTAACATCCCCATTGAAGCTTTGAGGGTAGGGGTTGGAAATAATTATCTTGCTTTCGTGCCTGCTTACATGAGGAATTTTATCTTCTCTGGGTCAGCTATTTATCATCTCCTTTTAAATCAATCTTTTAGGTAAGATTCTATTCTTTAAAAACTTTCCATTGTGATTTTAACTATCAAGTTGATAAATTGTGGCTTGCTTTGACTAAATTTGCCCTAGTATAGATTTCAATGGACAATATTTGAAGTCAACATTCAAAAATTTTATATGATAATTATATAGAATACATTGAAAAGAATGAAAAACACTGACAGTAAGAAGGCTATTAACTAGCAAAGAAACATACAAAAACAAGCAATAAATAAACAGCAGATCAGTATCTAAAACAATGAAAATTTTCTAATGACAGTGTATACATTTAGGGTGGTATATTCACAGATAATTTCATACAGAGAACAACTTTTTTTTCCCATAATGAAGCATATAGACCAGTCCTACACATCAATTTTCAATGAGTTATTATCTTCTCTTGATCAGTTATATTATGTATATTATGTAACTATAGCAGAGTGGGAGGAAACCCATGACTCATATCTTTTGACCTTCTGCCTTTGTGAGTTCTCTTTTCAGTTCTTTTACAAAGGGCAGTTTACTTAATTCTCAGCACAACATTGTATCACATATACAATTATTATACTATTTTTAAAGAAGACAACTGAAAATCAAAAAGGTTAATGCTTTGCCTAAATTCACAAAGGCATTGAAAGGCAACGCTTGAATATGACAAGCCACACTTTTAGTGTCTTAGAAAATATAATAAACAACTGAAAATCATTTATTTTAATGGAACATAGAAATTTTTTGTGCATTCCCTATTTTTCCTTCATGTCTTCCCTTTATAATTCTATTTTAAAACTTAGGAATCATATTATCTTTTAGTCACACAATATTAAGGATCAAAATAAGACCTGTATTTAAAACTTGTTGGTCTCTATACAATCTGATAGGAATATTAATGCAATTCTACTAAGGAAAAGACTCTCATGCATAGATTTAGGATATACCTATCATCAATCAATAAAAAACGTATTGTGTACCTTCTCTGAGATATGGACTGCCATGAGTGTTATAAGAGATGGAAAAATAACATGATTCAATTCAGCAGTATATATTGAGCATCTATTTTATTCAAAAAATTACCCAAGACAAAAAAAGGAAAGGATTAGGAAGTAGGAAGACTTCTATCAAAAGACACATAGATGAAAAAAACCCGGAGATGTTCTTTAAGAAATTATCATCTGGTTATGGAAATACAGCTAACACATATGCAATGCAGCAATTTAAAAATGTAGCTTTAATGTCACTTGATATTGTGGTCTAAAAAAGCAAATACGCCTTTGATGAAAGGGTAAGTCTATGTTTTAGTAAGCCATATTCATTAAAAATTCAGAAAGTTTGGTGGTGGGGAGCCAAGACGGCTGAATAGGAACAGCTCCAGTCTACAGCTCCCAGCGTGAGCAACACAGAAGAATGATTTCTGCATTTCCAACTGAGGTACCAGGTTCATCTCACTGGGGATTGTCAGACAGTGGGTGCAGGACAGTGGGTGCAGTGCACCGAGCTTGAGCCGGAGCAAGGCGAGGCATCACCTCACCCAGGAAGTGCAAGGGGTCAGGGAATTCCCTTTCCTAGCCAAGGAAAGGGGTGACAGATGGCACCTGGAAAATCAGGTCACTCCCACCCTAATACTGCGCTTTTCCAATGGTCTTAGCAAACGGCACACAAGAAGATTATATCCCATGCCTGGCTTGGAGGGTCCTACGCCCATGGAGCCTCACTCATTGCTAGCACAGTAGTCTGAGATCAAACTGCAAGGCAGCAGCAAGGCTGGGGGAGGGGCGCCTGCCATTGCCGAGACTTGAGTAGGTAAACAAAGCTGCTGGGAAGCTCGAACTGGGTGGAGCCCACCACAGCTCAAGGAGGCCTGCCTGCCTCTGTAGACTCCACCTCTGGGGGCAGGGCATAGCCAAACAAAAGGCAGCAGAAACCTCTGCAGACCTAAATGTCCCTGTCTGACAGCTTGGAAGAGAGTAGTGATTCTCCCAGCACGCAGCTTGAGATCTGAGAATGTACAGACTGCGTCCTCAAGAGGGTCCCTGAACCCCGAGTAGCCCAACTGGGAGGCACCCCCGAGTAGGGGCAGACTGACACCTCACACAGCCGAGTACTCCTCTGAGACAAAACTTCCAGAGGAACGATCAGGCAGCAACATTTGCTGTTCACCAATATCCGCTGTTCTGCATCCTCTGACGCTGATACCCAGGCAAATGGGGTCTGGAGTGGACCTCCGGCAAACTCCAACAGACCTACAGCTGAGGGTCCTGACTCTTAGAAGGAAAACTAACAAACAGAAAGGACATCCACACCAAAACCCCATCTGTACATCACCATCATCAAAGACCAAATGCAGATAAAACCACAAAGATGGGGAAACAACAGAGCAGAAAAACTGAAAATTCTAAAAATCAGAGAGCCTCTCTTCCTCCAAAGGAATGCGGCTCCTCACCAGCAATGGAACAAAGCTGGACGGAGAATGACTTTTATGAGTTGAGAGAAGAAGGCTTCAGACGATCAAACTACTCTGAGCTAAAGGAGGAAGTTCGAACCCATGGCAAAGAAGTTAAAAACCTTGAAAACAGATTACACAAATGGCTAACTAGAATAACCAATGCAGAGAAGTCCTTCAAGGACCTGATGGAGCTGAAAACCACGGCACAAGAACTACGTGATGAATGCACAAGCCTCAGTAGCCGATTCAATCAACTGGAATAAAAGGTATCAGTGATGGAAGATCAAATGAATGAAATGAAGTGAGAAGGGAAGTTGAGAGACAAAAGAATAAAAAGAAATGAACAAACCCTCCAAGAAATATGGGACTATGTGAAAAGACCAAATCTACATCTGATTAGCGTACCTGAAAGTGAGGGGGAGAATGGAACAAAGTTGGAAAACACTCTGCAGGATATTATCCAGGAGAACTTCCCCAATCTAGCAAGGCAGGCCAACGTTCAAATTCAGGAAATACAGAGAATGCCACAAAGATACTCCTTGAGAAGAGCAACTCCAAGACACATAATTGTCAGATTTACCAAAGTTGAAATGAAGGAAAAAATGTTAAGGGCAGCCAGAGAGAAAGGTTGGATTACCCACAAAGGGAAGCCCATCAGACTAACAGCTGATCTCTCAGCAGAAACTCTACAAGCCAGAAGAAAGTTGGGGCCAATATTCAACATTCTTAAAGAAAAGAATTTCCAACCCAGAATTTCATATCCAGCCAAACTAAGCTTCATAACTGAAGGAGAAATAAAATCCTTTACAGACAAGCAAATGCTGAGAGATTTTGTCACCACCAGGCCTGCCCTAAAAGAGCTCCTGAAGGAAGCGCTAAACATGGAAAGGAACAACTGGTACCAGCCACTGCAAAACCATGCCAAATTGTAAAGACCATCAAGGCTAGGAAGAAACTGCATCAACTAACGAGCAAAATAACCAGCTAACATCATAATGACAGGATCAAATTCACACATAACAATATTAACCTTAAATGTAAATGGGCTAAATGCTCCAATTAAAAGACACAGACTGGCAAATTGGATAAAGAGTCAAGACCCATCAGTGTGCTGTATTCAGGAAACCCATCTCACATGCAGAGACACACATAGGCTCAAAATAAAGGGATGGAGGAAGATCTACCAAGCCAATGGAAAACAAAAAAAGGCAGGGGTTGCAATCCTAGTCTCTGATAAAACAGACTTTAAACTAACAAAGATCAAAAGAGACAAAGAAGACCATTACATAATGGTAAAGGGATCAATTCAACAAGAAGAGCTAACTATCCTAAATATATATGCACCCAATACAAGAGCACTCAGATTCATAAAGCAAGTCCTTAGAGACCTACAAAGAGACTTAGACTCCCACACAATAATAATGGGAGACTTTAACACTCCACTGTCAACATTAGACAGATCAATGAGACAGAAAGTCAACAAGGATACCCAGGAACTGAACTCAGCTCTGCACCAAGTGGACCTAGTAGACATCTACAGAACTCTCAACCCCAAATCAACAGAATATACATTATTTTCAGCACCACACCACACCTATTCCAAAATTGACCAAATACTTGGAAGTAAAGCACTCCTCAGCAAATGTAAAAGAAAAGAAATTATAACAAACTGTCTCTTAGACCACAGTGCAATCAAATTAGAACTCAGGATTAATAAACTCACTCAAAACCACTCAACTACATGGAAAATGAACAATCTACTCCTGAATGACTACTGGGTACATAATGAAATGAAGGCAGAAATAAAGATGTTCTTTGAAACCAACGAGAACAAAGACACAACATACCAGAATCTCTGGGACACATTCAAAGCAGTGTGTAGAGGGAAATTTATAGCACTAAATGCCCACAAGAGAAAGCAGGAAAGATCTAAAATTGACACCCTAACATCACTATTAAAGGAACTTGAGAAGCAAGAGCGAACACATTCAAAAGCTAGCAAAAGGCAAGAAATAACTAAGATCAGAGCAGAACTGAAGGAAATAGAGACACAAAAAACCCTTCAAAAAATCAGTGATTCCAGGAGCTGGTTTTTTGAAAAGATCAACAAAATTGGTAGACCACTAGTAAGACTAATAAAGAAGAAAAGAGAGAAGAATCAAATAGACGCAATAAAAAATGATAAAGGGGATATCACCACCGATCCCACAGAAACACAAACTACCATCGGAGAATACTATAAACACCTCTATGCAAATAAACTGGAAAATCTAGAAGAAATGGATAAATTCCTCGACATATACACCCTCCCAAGACTAAAACAGGAAGAAGCTGACTATCTGATTGACCAAAAACAGGCTCTGAAATTGAGGCAATAATTAATAGCTTACCAACCAAAAAAAGTCCAGGACCAGATGGATTCACAGCCAAATTCTACCAGAAGTACAAGGAGCAGTTGGTACCATTCCTTCTGATACTATTTCAATCAATAGAAAAAGAGGGAATCCTCCCTAAGTCATTTTATGAGGCCAGCATCATCCTGATACCAAATCCTGGCAGAGACACAACAAAAAAAGAGAATTTTAGGCCAATATCCCTGATGAACATTAATGCAAAAATCCTCAATAAAATACTGGCAAAGTGAATCCAGCAACACATCAAAAAGCTTATCCACCATGATCAAGTGGGCTTCATCCCTGGGATGCAAGGCTGGTTCAACATATGCAAATCAATAAACGTAATCCAGAATATAAAAAGAACCAATGACAAAAACCACATGATTATCTCAATAGGTGCAGACAAGGCCTTAGACAAAATTCGACAACCCTTCATGCTAATAACTCTCAATAAATTAGGTATTGATGGGACATATCTCAAAATAATCAGAGCTATCTATGACAAACCCACAGCCAATATCATACTGAATGGGCAAAAACTGGAAGCATTCCCTTTGACAACTGGCACAAGACAGGGATGCCCTCTCTCACCTCTGCTATTCAACATAGTGTTGGAAGTTCTGGCCAGGACAATCAGTCAGGAGAAGGAAATAAAGGGTATTCAATTAGGAAAAGAGGAAGTCAAATTGTCCCTGTTTGCAGATGACATGATTATGTATCTAGAAAACCCCATCGTCTCAGCCCAAAAATCTCCTTAAGCTGATAGGCAACTTCAGCAAAGTCTCAGGATACAAAATCAATGTACAAAAATCACAAGCATTCTTATACACCAATAACAGACAGAGAGCCAACTCATGAGTGAACTCCCATTCACAATTGCTTCAAAGAGAATAAAATACCTAGGAATCCAACTTACAGGGGAAGTGAAGGACCTCTTCAAGGAGAACTACAAACCACTACTCAAAGAAATAAAAGAGGATATAAACAAATGGAAGAACATTCCATGCTCATGGGTAGGAAGAATCAATATCGTGAAAATGGCCATACTGCCCAAGGTAATTTATAGATTCAATGCCGTCTCCATCAAGCTACCAATGACTTTCTTCACAGAATTGGAAAAAACTACTTTAAAGTTCATATGGAACCAAAAAAGAGCCCATATTGCCAAGTCAATCCTGAGCCAAAAGAACAAAGCTGGAGGCATCACTCTACCTGACTTCAAACTATACTACAAGGCTACAGTAACCAAAACAGCATGGTACTGGTACCAAAACAGAGATATAGATCAATGGAAAAGAACAGAGCCCTCAGAAATAATGCCACATATCTATCACTACCTGATCTTTGACAAACCTGACAAAAACAAGAAATGAGAAAAGGATTCCCTATTTAATAAATGGTGCTGGGAAAACTGGCTAGCCATATGTAGAAAGCTGAAACTGGATCCCTTCCTTACACCTTATACAAGAATTAATTCAAGATGGATTAAAGACTTAAATGTTAGACCTAAAACCATAAAAACCCTAGAAGAAAACCTAGGCAATACCATTCAGGACATAGGCATGGGCAAGGACTTCATGTCTAAAACACCAAAAGTAATGGCAACAAAAGCCAAAATTGACAAATGGGATCTTGTTAAACTAAAGAGCTTCTTCACAGCAAAAGAAACTACCATCAGAGTGAACAGGCAACCTACAGAATGGGAGAAAATTTTTGCAATCTACTCATCTGACAAAGGGCTAATATCCAGAATCTACAATGAACTCAAACAAATTTACAAGAAAAAAACAAACAACCCCATCAAAAAGTGGGTGAAGGATATGAACAGACACTTCTCAAAAGAAGACATTTATGCAGCCAACAGACACATGAAAAAATGCTCATCATCACTTGCCATCAGAGAAATGCAAATCAAAACCACAATGAGATACCAGCTCATACCAGTTAGAATGGCAATCATTAAAAAGTCAGGAAACAACAGGTGCTGGAGAGGATGTGGAGAAATAGGAACACTTTTACACTGTTGGTGGGACTGCAAACTAGTTCAACCATTGTGGAAGTCAGTGTAGCGATTCCTCAGGGATCTAGAACTAGAAATACCATTTGACCCAGTCATCCCATTACTGGGTGTATATCCAAAGGATTATAAATCATGCCACTATAAAGACACATGCACATGTATGTTTATTGTGGCACTATTCACAATAGCAAAGACTTGGAACCAACCCAAATATCCAACAATGATAGACTGGATGAAGAAAATGTGGCACATATACACCATGGAATACTATGCAGCCATGAAAAATGATGAGTTCATGTCCTTTGTAGGGACATGGATGAAGCTGGAACCCATCATTCTCAGCAAACTATCGCAAGGACAAAAAACCAAACACCACATGTTCTCACTCGTAGGTGGGAATTGAACAATGAGAACACATGGACACAGGAAGGGGAACATCACACAGCGGGGCCTGTTGTGGGGTGGTGGGAGGTGGGAGGGATAGCATTAGGAGATATATCTAATGTTAAATGACGAGTTAATGGGTTCAGCACACCAACATGGCACATGTATACATATGTAACAAACCTGCACGTTGTGCACATGTACCCTAAAACTTAAAGTATAATAAAAATAAATAAATAAAAATAAAAATAAAAATAAAAAAATTTCAGAAAATTTAAAAATGTCTAGTAAGACACAATGACTATTGAGACACTTAATTGGTCTTAGAGGGAGGGTAGAAAAATTGGTTGAGGTTTATATTTATGGATTTACAAGTTTTGTTTTAAAAAGAACATGAAATATGTATATTATCAATGTTACATGAATTTATGCAATTGCAATAGACAAAATGCAGTTAAGATCTTTCTTAGAAGAAAACTAAATATAATACAGTATTTTCTAATATTTTCTTGAACTATAATCATGGTTTATTTCATACACTTACATATAGTAAAAATTTATACATATACAATCACAAACTTAGTGACTCATCATGGTATATGGCTTTGAGATGTTTCCCAGGAGTGTTAATGAGTTTACTTCAATAATATTTATCTAACTTACATAGGTCTTAAATTCAACAGGAGGTTAAATTTTCATTTGTAAGTTCCAAAGTTTTGGAGTGACACCTCTAATCCAGTCAGTTTTTTCCTTCTCTCCATAATGTGGCTAGGAAAAGGGTAGAAATATGCATTTGTGACTCAGATAGTATATCACTAAGAGATTTCCTGGGTAACTTCTTAGAAGAAGGTTAATAGAACATTTACAGAGCTTTTCAATTTGTGAATGCTCATCTGTAAAAGGGGCAGGACCTTCAGCTTCTGCATATACCAAAAGCTGAGAGCATTTGCAGGATATTATTTTTCTCCAAAGATAAATGATGTAAATGGCCTCTAAAGTATGATTTCAACTTATAAAAGAACCTAGGGGCACTTAAATTATGCGTTGTATGCCATTTTGATAACATTATAACAACAGACACAACAGACATAATGGAGTAATGAAATGACTGAGGCTTTAGCATCATCCAGATCCAAGTCCCAACCCAGCTCTGCCATTTAGTCACTATGTGATTGTAAAGTTAGTGAGGCTTACTCTTCTCCCTTTAGAAAAAGAGATAACAAAACTACTTAATGTGATTTTTGAAATAATTAACCAAATAAAGGAGAACCACAGCATTCTGTAATTCAAGAGGCCACCATTTACATAATATATATAAGATAAATAGTGTCCCCTTGGCATTGTGAAGCACAGTCTGCTTGAATAACATGAGCAAGCCCTGTCATCACAGTTACACACAAAGTAGATGTTCAATGTTTGCATTATTCAATATCATTGCAATAACAAAAAACAGTGTGGGTTTGACATCCTTTGCATATCAAAACTGTGTTTATTGAGCATAGCAGCAAGGTATTATGCCTGCTTAGAATTCCACATTCCTAGAACAATGCCATGATCACAGAAGTAACTCAATATCAGTATGTTGAATAGGTAAAGATCATATTAATCTATATGATTGGTCGATCAGGAGCCCTTTGGAAAGCTTTATCTTTCACTAAGTATTCCCAGTGAGCCTTTGTGTAAGGAGAAATGAAATCTAGGACACAGCCTTTTAGTTATCTAAAGCAAAATAAGCTTCTGTGCATTTTTATTGTGAGGATGTATGTATTAAGGCTAAACACACAGCATTCCAAAATTTAAAGTAATGCTAATATGTGGGATATGTGTGTGCATGTGTGTGTGTGCACCTTTGTGCATGTGTTTTGCATTTAAAGAGAGAGTGGGATACCTGCAAATGCATATTTATATATTTATATTTATATTTATATATATGGAATCAAATTTGTAAAATGAACAACTTGACCTATTTCCTATTTGGGGAGAGTTTCCCAGAAGTCTCAAAATCAGCCTTGCCAATTCCCTTATTTGCCAGGTGTCTACTAGATGCATCATGCCCTTTTTTAGCAACCTTCTTTTAGGATGGCACACATCCTTAAAAATCTATTTCACATGAATCTTGACTCAAATGTGTATCTGCTGTTTCCTTTAGCTTTTTAAATAGGAAGAAGAGATTGTCTCTAGCAGGTTTGTCACTTTATCAGAATATCTTTGAGCATGTCTTAAAAACTGAGTTCAGAGTAAGAAGTGGCTTCCCCACGTTACATAGTTGCAGAGGTAGCTGGGCCTATAGCATGGGTCTCATTTTCATCCAGATTTTTTCTCTGTCATCACTCCAATTTTAATGATGAGTTAAACTCAAAAGAAGAGACTGCTTGCCTTGGGAAGTTATATTCTTTCTGGGTACTTAAATCACTTTTACCAAACCACTGAATGTACTTATAATACATCAGCATTATCAAAGTGGCATCAAGGAAAATTGAGAAAGTGATTGTATTTTACCATGTCTGTGTGTCCACTACAAACCATGTCCTAAATTAAAAAAAAATAATTTGCTGCATTTGCTTTAGGATATATTTCTGAATCCTAGTATTCTAACTCCTTTATTAAAGTTTGGTTATCTTGAAGCCAGTAGTTAATTCACTAGCCCACACACATGGAAAAGCATGGCCCTGTATGTTCAGTCTGTCAAAGTCATACCAGTCAGTTTCAGTCACAGAAATGCAGGGTTGGAAGGGACCTAAAAGCTAAAGATCATGGATTCCAGCTGTATCACAGTGTAGGGTCTTATAGATCCAGGGGCTAATCCAAGTTTTACCACCTTCTAACTTTTAAAGTCGTGCATGTAAATCTTTTTTAAGCCTCACTTTCTTCCTTCATGAAATTAAGATAATGACAGTTCTTAATTTGTAGAGTTATTGAAAGGATTAATAACTCATAGCGTTATCTAAAGGAGCTGGCTCTTTCTTATACTTCAGGTTCACTTTAAACGTCAGCCCCTCTGAAAATTATCCCTTGATTACCTTATTTAAACTGGTCTCTCAGCTATTCTTTCTAACCCATCATTTGGCTTATCTTCTTCCAGCGTATTCTGTGATTATTGGTTTCCTCATCTGCTTATTATCTTACTGTCTGTCTCCTTCCACAAATTTGTAAGATCTGTAAGTTCTGGGTCTGGGTCTGTATGTATCCCCAAAATCAAGAATGATGTTTGGAAAATGCTTCCCATAAAGCAAACATTAACAAGTTTGTGTAGGATTAAATTAATAAATGCAAATCAGTAATAATTATTATGAATGTATAGAAATCTACACATTTAACATGAATATTATCCATTTTAATTATAAAAATTAGGCCATTGCAAACAACTTAGGAATTAATTTTTACATCTTTGCAAGGCATAAAAAAACAGAAAAAAATATTGTCAGACCAATAATTTTTGATCAGTTTACTTAGAAAAACAGGGCCATATTACTAAAATATGTGTATAATCTACCTTTACAGTGCTCAAAACAAATCCATAATATCCCTACTAAGGGCTCACCTGACACTGCTTGATTACCTCTAGTGACAGGAAGGTCATTAACTCATGATGCAATGCCATTAATTTTTAGACTGCTCAGATTATAAGAAAATCTTATGTTGAACAAAAATCAGGATCATAAAAGCAAGGATTCATTGAGAACACTTCAAGTCCCAAAAATACACATAACTTTCCTAATTATTATTCCTTTATTAGCCCCTTATCAAAAATAAAGACACCTTTCAAATACTCCATGATTTTTCTCTTATCCAGGTTAATTAACTCCACTTCAGTCAAGTTTAATCACACATCTATATTTGTATGCATATCTGTGTGACACATTCAGCAGATGTGGCCACACATTCAGAATCATAATACAGTGAAGACATTAAATAAAAGCATTTTAATTTATAACTATCTATAAGCCCACAAAGCACTTTCACATTCCTATACTAATGGGATATTATCTTGGTTACACACTCCCTTACATATTGGTTAATTGAGGCTCTGCTGGGAATTTCTAGAATAAATATAAGACATTTTCTATATTTTTGTAGCTAGGAAAGCATACAATCATTTCCCCCAAGCTGACAGGGCAAAACACATTTAGGTTTTTTCAGATTCATGAGTGGCCAGTCTCATGTTTACTTCTAATAGGAAACTGATGACTCAATTCACCCATTTATCTCAGAGCAGCCCAAACATGGATATCACAATGAGATCTTTGTGGTACGTAGAATAACGTGCCTCCCATCCGAATATGACCATGTCCTAAATTTTGGAACCTGTGAGCATGTTACCTTGAATCGTTACATTCTAGACCATGTGACTATATTACCTCACATGGCATTTTGCAGATTTGATTAAAGTTAAGCATCTTAAAATGGGAAGATTATCCTGGATTATCCAGGTGCGCCCAACATAATCAAGGTTTTTTTTTTTTTTGAGATAGGGTCTTGCTCTGTTGTCCAGGCTGAAGCATAGTGTCATCATCATGGCTCACTGCAGCGTCAGTTTCCTGGGCTGAACGGATCCTTGCACCTTAGCTTCCCAAATTGCTAGGACTAAAGGCATGCACCACCAGACTCAGCTAATTTTAAAAAAATTTTCGTAGAGACAAGGTCTCGCTATGTTGTCAGGACTGGTCTCAATCTCCTTGGCTCAAGTGATCCTCCCACTTCTACCTCCCAAAGTGCTGGGATTACAGGCCTAAGCCACCAAGTCTGGCTTGAAATGAATCTCTAAAAGTGGAAGAGAAAGGCAGAAAAGTGGGTCAGAGATTTGAGATAGAAGGAGAAGGATAAATTTGAAACAGAAAAGTAACTAAATCTGTCATTATTAATTTTTAAGATGGAGGAGGCCAGGGACCAAGGAATGTGAATGATGTCTAGAAGCTGAGAATGACCTTCTGCTGACAGCCAGCCAGGAGAAAAAGCTCAGTCCTACAGCTGCAAAGAGCTGAATTTTGCCAGCAACCACAACTACCAAGGAAATGAATCCTCCCTTAGATCACCAAGAAGAGAATGCAGTCCTCTTGACATCTTCAGTTTAGCTCAGTAAGACCTATGAGGAACTTCTGTCAGACAGGATTATAAGATAATCACCTTGTTTTTTTCAACAAATTTTAAAAGTTGATATATAGTAATTGTACATGTTTTTGAGGTACATATGACATTTTGATACCTGCATACAATGTATAATATTCAAATCAAAGTAATTGGAATATCCATCACCTCAAACATTTATCTTTTCTTTGTGTTGGCAACATTACCAATCTGGTTGTTTTAAGCCACTAAATTTGTGATAATTTGTTACAATAGCAATGGAAAATAAACATAATCTAGACTACTGTAAATTTGCATCAATGATCTGAGGGGAATACAACTCAACAATTTGTAGGTTCCTTATAAACCACACTTGAATTTTTGGAATCCTCTACTCTGTAATATTCCTTACAAACAAATTTAAATTCCCTCTTCCTGCCTTCTAAGGACAAATGGCAGTGTCTCATGAGTATAACAAATTCAATGTTTGGCAATACTCTCAGTTATCAAATACTTTGCAAACTAATTTTGTATATTATAAAGTAATTTTACTCAGTTTAGGGGGAAAAGGTAGATATGTGTGATTCAGCACTTAAGAACATACTAACTTCTCATATTTCTCTCTCCCTTCTTTTTGTCTCTTTCCCCTTCCTTCCCTCCCCATACCTTACCACTCCGTACAAGTTTTTAGATTTTTAGAGTAGAGGTGGAGTCCTATTTTCCTGAAAATGTATTATACTGTTTAATGAGAATATGTATATTTCCCCAGAAAATGTTTGACTTTTCTTCGCCCCTGAAGTAACATTAAATAAGTTATCTCTTAAACCATAGCTATTTCCTTTGTAAGGCTGTCCACTTAATCTTTATAATTCATTTGAAGACGTTTATTGTAGAGGAAAAATAAAGTTGCTGTTGGTTAACAGAAACCTTGAACTCTGTCATTCTTTACTGCTATTGCATTAAGATAGTTTCTGCCAGCACAGTCATTCTCTTGTCAAGATCATTTTAATTATGCATGTGGTAAAAGATGTGATTCGTCACCAAAAGTACACCCTGGTGCCATAAACTCCCTTCTGACTAGTTTTCTATGCTTATTTAAAATACCTGTAGTCTGTCAATAACTTTATACTCTTCTTTGGCAAATTGGAAAGTTGGAAGGCAAGGAGAAAGGGAATATCCAAGAGAAAATCAATATAAATTTTGCAAACAAATGCAAGGGCAGTAATATATCAGTGATAGTTGATTGTGTTGGGTAGTATAGGTGAAGTGAATTTTACAACTTTAAAATGTGATACTTTTTTTTTCAGAAGCAGAGTCTCATTCTGTTGTATAGGCTGGTGCACAGTGGCGCAAACTCTGCTCACTGCAACCTCCGCCTCCCGGTTCAAGTGATTCTCATGCCTCAACCTCCCAAGTAGCTGGGACTGCAGGCATACGCCACCACACCCAGCTAATTTTTGTATTTTTAGTAGAGACAGGGTTTCACCATGTTGGGCAGGCTGGTCTTAAACTCCTGACCTCAGGTGATCTGCCCCCCTCAGCCTCCCAAAGTGCTGGGATTACAGGTGTGAGCCACTGCACCAGCCTGTCATACATCTTTCTGACCATCACTAATTAGAAAACATTGTTACATTTCATTTACTTAAACAAAAGGTCATTGAAAACCTACTTATTTCTATGCATTGGGTAAAGATCTAACAATCAACGTGAGAAAAATGGTGTTGCCATATTTTCCAAGAGTCATTCTTCTCAACAATAAATTATTGGAGGATATGATAATGTGTTAGTCCTTGTATGATTAACCCAATATTTATTGTTCTTTTTTCCAGAAAAGTAGTAGGATTCTACTTTCCAATTATTTTGAAGTTAAATGTGGCAGTGTATATTGCTTTGACCAATAATGTGTGAGTAGAAGTCACACTTGTCACTTTTGGGTGAAGAATTTAACAGTCAATGTGCAATTTTCCATGTTCCTGTTTATCTTCTCAGCAACCATGGAAATGTAAAGATGAAACCTCCCTCAGCCTGGAGTCCCAAGTAAAATGACATAGAACAGAGCTGTCTATAATGGATGCAAAATGTAAGTAAATAATATTCATTTGTTATTTTAAACAACTGATATATTGAAGTTTTTTACTAAACTAGTTTATTTGGACTCCTAAAAATGATATCTAAAAGAAGAATGCTGTAATAGAAAAATCTGAGAAAAAATGTCCTTGGCTGAATAGACAATAATAGTGAGAAAATTGTTATAGGAGACAAGATGCATTATAACTTGTCTTATGTAATGGACAAGCATTTGGTGAAGTTGTCACCTCTTTTAAGTTGGGCATTCTTCTATAGAATTAATGAACCTGTAGCTTTGGAGGAAGAATTAGTCTACCAAATGCTAATTTTTGATGTTTTCTGTATTTAGCAATGCATTAGAGAAAAGAGAATGAGCTCAGAAAGTAATTAGCTTACAATCAGTAATTAAAGGAAATAAAGTCATTCCACGAATTCAGGGACTTGTAGAGTTATATATATACATATATATGTGTGTGTATATATGTGTGTGTGTGTATGTGTGTGTGTGTGTGTGTGTGTATATATATATATATGTATATATATGATATTAGGTTCAAAGCCCTTAAAAATGGAAGCTTGTAGCAAGGATCCAGTCCAAAGTATGGCCCTCACACCCATTGTTGAGAGTATGGAGTAAGGTGAGAGAATAAGAGTTCAGCTGCCTAGTGTTCAATTGAACACTTTGGCTATGAGGCAGGAGACAAAGGATGTGGTTCTTTAATTGAAACCTGATAGGCCTTACATGCTCATTATTCAGCATGCAGCTTGAAAGAAGTAATTTTGGAAGAGAATGAAATGTAGCAAAAGCTAAAAAATACTGTATGCCTTAAAAAATACTAGTAGTCTGGGCAACAACATAAAGAATCTACTGGAATCAAATAGGTAAGGCTGGGCAGGGAGGGGTGGGATAGAGAAAGATTAGTTAATGGTATTAATATGCAGTTAGAGAGAAAAAATAAGTTCTGGTATTTGATAGCACAGTAGGGTAACTACAGTAAATAATTTGCCATGTACCTCAAATTAGCTAGAAGAGAGGATCTGGAAGGTTCACAGCACAAAGAAATGATAAATATTTAAGGTGAGGAATATGCTAAATACCTGACTTGATCGTTAACACATTGTATCCACATATTGAAATATCATATATATATCCCATAAATGTGTACAATTATGGATCAATAAAAAGTATTTTAAAAATAATCTCTCAAAGGCTAAAATAAGAAAATATAGATGAGAAAATCATGAAGAGAGGGACCTCCTCCATAGAGCAAAATTGCAGTTAATCAAGGAACATACTCAATTCCAGCAAGTGTGTTTACTTCTGTCATTGTTTGATCATTACACATCATTTTTGAAAGGCGCAGAAAATTTGACTTTTTATTTGTATTTCTCCAAGCCAAGAGGAGCTTGGGTTCTTTCTTCTGGGTTGTTTCTTCCAGGGAGAGAGCAAATGTGCTATGCCTGGAACTTAGTTATTTGAGGATTTAGTGACCAGCGGGAGGAGCCATCCCCAAATATTTCTCTCTCTCTCTCTCTCTCTCTTTCCTGTGTATCATATTTACATCTTCTTCTTTGCTTCCCCTGTCAATCTTCTTCATTCAATAAAAACCCATGTGATTATGTTGGGCTACCCAATTTTATTTTCCCACCCTCAAGCCCTCATGAAGCTTCATTCATAAATTGCTTTGACAAGTGATGTATGAGCAGATGTGTCACACATCACTTCTGGCAAAAGCTTTAACAAAACAAGGGAAAGAATATTCAGCACACTCTCTTTCTCCATTTCTTTGCCATGGCAACTGTCAGTGGTCCAGGGAGTATCTGCTACCTCAGCCTGAATCTTGGAGAAAGAACAATGGGCTTGTTAACCTGCAAAAGTTGGTTAACCTGCAACTGTCACGCAGCACATATAAGAAGGAAACTTTGCCACTTTAAGCTTCTCAGATATTGAAGTTGTTTGTTCCACAGCATAATCTAATTTATTCCTCCAGGTAGAATAGATAACAAAAGGAAAGTTATAATAGGGAAAAATATTTTATATAATATTTAGAGCACAGCGTTTGGGTTTGGACAAACTTATGTTGAATCCTGAAATTATCACTATGTAGCTGAGTCCCCATGGTAAAAATTGCTTATCTCTATTATCATTTACTTTATTGTCTGTAAATTGGAGATTATTTCACATTTACTGGAATTCTACTATGTGCCAGGCATTATTTTAGGCACTGAGAGGATAAAAATGGATGAAATGAATTCTAAAACGAAATATACAAGTCTATTGACAAAAGATAACATTGGTAAATCTTTAGTTCCTTTCTATAACATGGTATATGGTCAATAATGTTGTTTCTGCTTTCCTTTGAGTGCTTATTTAAATGTAGAAACATCCTAAGCTTTACTGTTAACAGTTCTAATAACACCTGCTAAAAGGTGTTTTTTTTTTTTAAGTCCAAATCTAAGGGTTTTTTGTTGTTGTTGTTTAATCAGCAGAAATCCTAAGAACTAGTCAGACTTGAGCTTCACTAAATTGCATGTTTTCTTTGGCCTTTAGTACAAATGCCAAATTCATCACAAGTCTCCGGATGAAGAGATTACTTTCCAGCAGGCAGCAATGCCTACTAGGGAGGCTGCGTTCTTTCCTTCTGTCCTGTGACCTCCGTGCTCCATGTTGTACATGATGTCCTCCTCCCTAATTTGTGCTCAGTAGACATGATGCAGCTAAGGACAAAAATGGACAACTAATGAAAAGTGAAATAAATTCGACAATAAATGTTTGAAAATGATTAATGCTCATTAATGATGAAAAAAGAAAAATCTAAATAATAATGAAAGAGCATTGTCATCTATCAGATTGGCAAATGTTTTTTGAAAATACTGAAGCACTCTCTTACAATGCTTGATAAAAACTTTCTAAATTTGGCAAGGACATAAGACACTGAAATGTATTCCTGTTACTCTAATATTTTAATTTGGTAAATGAATCTGCTAAAATAGAAAAGGGTATTCACAATGAATGATAGGCATATTCATCCACCACTGTTTTTAACCATGTAAATTTGGTTATAGTATACTTTTTTTAAAATTATACTTTAAGTTCCAGGGTACTTCTAATACTAGAGTATTCATTAAATAAGTCAAGATAGAAGTCTACACAGAAATACTATGCAAACCTTAAAAGTTAAAAAAAAATTACACATATACTTATTTAACAAGAATAATATTTTCAATAAAATGTTGAATAAAAACTTCAGATATAGGCATAAACTATGTAAATATATGTGCATCAGTGTTAAGGATGGTTATGTTTGTCAGGGGAGGATCATGAGTGTTCAGATCATTAGGGGACTTATATTTATTTCCTGATATTTCCAAAATGAGTATGCTGTTGTAAAACATAAAGCTAATCAATAAAATAAGCAAATTTGGATAAAGGTAAAATCTAGCTTATGTCTGTAATGCAGCAGTCGCTGATTATTAAAGAATATTATCAGTCAGGCACGGTGGCTCACGCCTGTAATCCCAGCACTTTGGGAGGCTGAGGCGGGTGGACCATGAGGTCAGGAGTTCGAGACCAGCCTGGCCAACATGATGAAACCCTGTCACTACTAAACATACAAAAATTAGCCAGGTGTGGTGGTGCGCACCTACAATCTCAGCTACTCAGGAGGCTGAAGCAGAAGAATCACTTGAACCCGAGAGGCGGAGGTTGCAATGAGCCAAGATCATGCCATTAGACTCCAGCCTGAACAATAAAGACTGTGACTCAAAAAATAAAAAAATTAAAAAAAGGAAAAAAAAAAGAATATTATCAAACATATAGTCCTTACTAAAGATAACAAAATATGTATTTATTAATTGTTATAAAGTTTGTGGTACCAATAAACCCTACAGATTCTTTCTGAGTTGCCAAGAAAGACACCTTGAGTACATAAAGAATAGCTATGTGTTTCTAGGAAAAACAAGTGTGCAAATTATATAAGTCAATTTTGTACATAATAAATTGGAAATGAAAGGATTCTAGTCCTTTGCTCTTTGGAGTTACTCTATAGTTGGTTGATTTTCCTAACATGTTATTAAAGCCTCTTCGGGCAGTTAAAAATGGATTAATAGCAAAGGGCATATTGATTAAAATATAATTTCTATTATTACAACTAAATTGTGTTTTTGCCTATAAGTAGGAAGTACTTAAGGGCATGCTTTTGACATATTATAGTTCACTTAGGTGTTTCACACAGAGCCTAGTTTCTGCTGAATTACTGGGGAGAGGTATGTATATCAGACTACCACGTATTCATTTTTAAAGAGATGTTGTGTCAGCGGGGGAAAAACATTCTTCACTTACTTTTAGTAATTTTTCCTAATGAATCAATGTAAAGTTTTTTTTAAGTAGATCCATAACTTTTATGACCTAAAACATTATTTAGAAGTTTAAAAGGGAAATATTAGTTACAAATATATTGTTTTTTAAAAAACCCTATAACTCAAGTAGTGAAATTAACTGCTTTCTTATTGTTTCACTATCTAAATCTTACACTGTTTTGTAGCAATTTTCATGGTGAAAAATAGGAAGGACTTTCAGATGATGATATGAAAGTAGTATGGTCTAACCTAACGTTTCTTTCAGCATCCCTTGCCATATGTGTTTATAAATATATATTTATAAATATATATTTCTAAAATAAATATTAAGATGTCACGGACTTCCTGGTTTTTTAATGTATCACACAAAATAAAAACATATTGAAAATTAAATATTATTGCATTTAATTGAGGCACATCATGAGATGGAGTTGGAAAATTTTGAAAAAATAATTATGCATCTTAGAATTGATGAAAGTTGCTAATTCACAATATGGGAGTAGTGGAATATTTTCAAATGGCAACAATGGAGGTAATCTATATTTTTAAAATTCTATTATCTCTTTCATTAAGTAATAATAGCTAACATTTATTGAATATTTACTCTGTGGCCAGCAGCCTTCTTAAAGGTACTTAAGAAGGCCACAGTCCAGTCATAGTTTCACTAAATTGCATGTTTGCTTTGGCATTCCGTACAAATGCTAAATTTAATTATTAAATTACTAAAATCATTTAATAATTTTGACTATTATAAAACTATGTAGAAATTTGGAAAAATCTTTGACCTATGAATAAAAATATCATATGTGAATTAAAATTAAAACTAAAAGAAAATTGGGGTAAGTTAACTAAAATAATAATTGTTCTATGCTAGGCTTATACCATTTTTTCTTAATTTCCCAAATACTTCATAATAAGTGTGCAATTTCTTCTACAAATTCAAATCAGCAAGCAAATTTAAAACACTAAAATGCTGTGGAAACATTTTGGTGCATAATTGTATACCATTCTACAAGGTTAAATTTAATATCAAGAACTGCCTCTTTCCTCTAATACCAATATTAAAAAGTGTTCAGAGACTAATTTGTATAATTAAATAAGAAAACATGTTTCTCTTCTGAATTCTTCACAAATGGAAGAAGTCCAATTCTATTGGTATTAGACACTTCCTCTTTAAAGTTGCAAAACTTAAAGCAAATTATTAAAATAATTATTTGACCTACTGGATGCCAACAATACCAATACAGCCAGCCTTCCTTTTTGGCAAATATGGCCATCCATGCCACATTAATCCCATACTTCTTTAAAAGTTTATCAAGGTCTAAAAGAGTTTAACTTACTCAGGTGCTAGATCCATTAAAAGACCAGCCCTCACCACTATGCAATATATTCATGTAACAAAATTGCACTTGTACCCCTTAAATGCATACGAATAAAAATAAATAAATAAAAACAAAGTAGTGCAACTATTGGCCATATCAGTCAACTAACCTCTAACATTTTTAAACACAAAAAATTAAATGGGGAAAAATGTAGTTTGGGTGTACTGGTGAATTCATTATAACTTCAGTGCTATCCGTCCATAGTAAAAAGGGAGGAAGTTCACCAGAAATAGCACCACCTTCTAGTTATTCAATTCTTTTTTATTTTATTTTATTTTATTTTTTTTGAGACAGAGTCTCGCTCTGTCGCCCAGGCTGGAGTGCAGTGGCGCGATCTCGGCTCACTGCAAGCTCCGCCTCCCGGGTTCACGCCATTCTCCTGCCTCAGCCTCCCGAGTAGCTAGTTATTCAATTCTTAAATGTAATTCAGTGTCCAAAGTAAACATATGAAAGAAAAGAGCAAATGTTACTAATGCAATATTTTTTCTTATTTTTCCAAGACCTTTCCTCTATTGACATGTAATTCATGTCTATTATCCTAAACAGTTACATTTAATTTAATATTCAGCTCTACTAGCCATAATTTTACAAAATTACAATCAATATGAAGCTAATTTAGGAATAGCAATGAGAATTCTATCAGATTTCTGACAGGAAATAGCTGGCACTCTCAAATTAAGATAATTCAGTGAAAGTTTCTTACAAATATATAACCAGGGCTTAGGGAGCCATAAATGAGAATGCAGGACCCGGGGCTAATAAGAGAAAAAGACTTGTTACCACTTCTAGTCCAGAAGGTAGTAGGGGAGGAAGCTGTTCAGGTAAGCAGTGTCTGCATGTTTCATGGCTAGAAGGTAGCCAAGAAAAATACCAAACCTTTGGCTGAGGAATCCAGCCAGTCTGAGATGAACACACAAAGAAACCTGGAGAGTAGAGACGCTGATTTCACTTTTTCTTTCTTATTATCCGCTGCTAGGACTTCCTAATGGCCAAAGTGGGGACTGGAGCCTATTGCTCTAGCCTTTACAGGTCAACTTACCAGAAAGAGGACAGCATGAAAAGGCAAACAAAAGAGAGCTAACTGAACAGCTAAATAGAATTAATATAATAGAATTCGGGGTCCTTCTGAATTAGTGTCTCTGATACATCACATGCAGACATGGTTTCAAGGCTTGACCCAATGTATATGCCAAATATTTACAGAGAAGGCAAAGACTATAAACCACATAGTCATTCAACTTACCAAATTAGAGACTGAGAGACCTCCCATCTTAAAGTGATTCTCTATAAGCCTTTATGGCTCTCCCTGAATTGCTGCTGTGTCTAGATTTTTAAAATATCACTACTTTGTGAATTGTTTTGATTTTACAAATGCCCCTATGATACAGTGATCCATATGAGTGAATATCATATAAGCAATAGCATTTACATCCAAGTCTAAAAATGGGTTACATTCAAGACTTTTTACTGGGGGCCAAAACAAATTAAATCCCCCAAACATTTCATAAATTATTTATGTTTATGTGAAGTCACAACTAATGGAAAAACAGAAAAGTTAATTAAACAATAAATTATTTGGCCCTCAAGCCACCAATCAGTTTGGATTTTCCTGATCCCTTTCCATGGACTGTAAGATCTCCCAAAGGCCTGAGCAAGGTGCTTGTAGGAAAACTTTAATCTGTGGGTTTTAGTAAATGCAGCTGTAGGTAATTACAAGAAACAGTGTCCCAGAAGAGTTTTAGAATCTCAGACCTGGGGCAAATACACTCAAGTTGATCTGCTGATCCATATGAGTTAGTGGAAGAAAAGAATCAAACAGCAAACAAACAAGAATCCAATTTTGAGTTTGCAGAAAATGAAGACAGAGGGAAGGGAAATGTGGAATAATTATTAAATCTCTGTTCAAACTCCTAAAACAGCTGCTTAGGGTTTTCTTCCTTCTATTGTGTACATTTACTGGGAATTTAAAGACAGTAGAAAAGGCTTTTATTTTCTTAGAAATAATTTAATCAATGACTATTCGTTTATATAGTTACAACCAATTTTTTAGACACGTGTGCATGCATGTGTTCTTATTGCTTATATATGTTTAATAAGCAGAGTCTTACTATTTAACTCAGATTTTATGTTGTCCCTTTTGTGAGAATGTTAGCTTATAGGGGGTTATATTTTACTTGGCTTATTTGTGTGGTATATGTCTAAGTTCGCATGCATATATTTGTTTATCATAGAGCCCCAATTGATATATACTGCAGGCATTTAATGCATAAGTTTGATCATAATGCACTAAAGTAGCCAAGGATAAAGGGGTGTGTATGTGTGTGTGTGTGTGTAGCATACATATGCGTAGATACTTATAATTATTTTTAAGTGATTATATATAGTTATGAAGCCTATATATAAATGTCATGATTCGTTTGGTATAAAGTTTTAGAATTCTTCCTCCAATGATTTTGAAATGGTTTGTAGCAGGATATTCTATTCCATTTTTTACATTTTTATTTCAGGGACAAAACATTTTACCAAAGGTAGTGCTAAAGTTGTCCGAGTAATGTCAGAGGATCGATCCTTCAGTACTTAAATCTATTAATTGAAGTCATTAATAAAAAGTTGAGAAATAAGTTCTTAGCTAAGAGTTAGGGAAGCAAAAGAAATAACCAAGTTAATTGTCCTGACCTCAAGGGGCTGAGACTCTGAAGAAGTGATGAGACATATACAGTTAAAATAATTAGGATAGATTATGATATGGGATATAAAAGAGAATTTGCAGCATTGCTATAAATTGAAAAAGAGAGGAGGGAGTTATTACTGTTGGTTATCTTGGTGAGAGTAATTTAAGCAGTGCTTGAAGCAAAATTTTAACACTCAGAGTGGGAAGAGAGATGAGAACTAATATTTATTTATTTAATTATTGAGCTCCTATCATTTTAGATGCTGTGTTAGATACTGGAAATGCAATGCACAATGAAACAAAAATAGATCCTTCTTCTATGGAATTTACCATGCATTGGACAAGAATATTGAGAGTTGTTTCAAGAAGTTTGAATGGGTAAAGAGGGGCTAATGTGGGGAAGAACACAGGAAAAGAGTGAAATGATGGGGAATAGTTTTGCTTGGATTTTAGTTGGTTATATGTTTCCAGGATTAGAGAAACATGTTTGGTTTTAGTCTGCATGGAAGGAACCAGGGAAATGGAGAAATGCAAATTTAGAGACGAATAGCTGATTCAGTAAAATTGGTAAAGGAATGAAAGTGTTATAATTAAAATTTAATATGAGGGATTATTTTGGAAAATAGAGTATAGGTAAAGATAAAGAGATATTTTAAGGTTTAAAGAAGAAAAATTCGGTGCTGTGCACATCAAATAGCCTCATCTTTTTTTAAAAGAGGAGGCTAATTCATTTGAAACTAAGGAAGTCAGGGCAAGGTTTGAGCCCATGGAGAATAGAGATTTTGAAAAATGCTGAAAGAGCTGGAACATTTCATGTGGTCACATCCTATTCAGGACTAGATGCGGTCAGACAGCATGGCTGTGTTAAATATCCAAGAGGTATGAGCAAACAGACATGATTCTTGCCTGCATAGAATATTTGATCTAGTGAAGGGTACATCCAATAATCAATTATACAAATAAATATTAACTGGTCAACTGACAAGAAAAATATGCCAGGGGATAGATTTCATAGAGAGCTAGAGGGTTGGAGAGAACTCAGTGACTGACTTTGGATTCTGCGTGGCAAATAAAGCTAAGTGTAGTGTCTGATGGACCAGGTTGATAGAGAAAGATAAAGGAAGGATAAATTATGAGTTCAGTAGGAGTCAGAAAGTGGAATAAGTGAAAATACATGCAACTGCAGTTAGAAAGCAGACTTGCAATGTTTTACTAGAAGCAGAGCAGTTACAAGAGACAAACTGACTCCTGGCAAAACTGTAATTTGTGTGCCTCAAGGAGAAATGGAGCCCTGACACAGGTGTGTGCAGCAACCCCACACTCACCAGTGAGAGCCTGGCCCATGCCATGTATCCAGCAATTGACCATATTAATTTACAAACATGGACTATTCCAAGGTAGTATAAGTCATATATGAAACAACGTTTCTTTCTACTTTTGTTTAAAGCTATTATTGTTGCACTCACTTACATTCCGTGTATTAGATGATGTTCCAGCTTATTTGGCCACTCTCTCATTGGGTGATCTTGCAGCCTCGCAGTAAAGAGAACCATTTCTAGTCATATATGAAACAACATTTCTTTCTACTTTTGTTTAAAGCTATTATTGTTTCACTCACCTACATTCAGTGTATTAGATGATGTTCCAGCTTATTTGGCCCCTCTCTCATTGGGTGACCTTGCAGCCTCGCAGTAAAGAGAACCATTTCTAGAAAAGACATACGATTAAAACATGGCATTACATTTAAGAAAGTTAGAAAATAGCCCAAGCAAAGTTACTTGAAATTAAAACTGACCTAATGGAATAACCTACAGGGAATAATTTATATTTCTCTACAGTAAGTTTATCCGTGTATATTCATTTTATAATATGCCATGCTTGAGGCTTTTCCCAGAATATAAAAGGCTTTTTGCAAAATGATGTCAATCACAATATTTGGTTCTGAGAAAAGTGTCACTTTATCAAATTTGTCTTTCTATTGGACTGTTGAGTAAGATTTTTAACAAAGGAAAAAAGGCATATCTGGTGCTGTTTATCCCTGTTTTCTTTGCAAGGTCTATTTTTGTCAAATGAGTTTATTCCTTGTTTAAACATACTGTGCCTTTTCATGCCTCTATACCATTTTCCTTCTATCTTATTCACTTGAAATGTCATTATTCTTTTGTCTATTCCTATTTCTCATCCACAAACTCATAGTCATTCTTTAATACCCAGCTGAAATATGACCTTTTCCCTCTGAAGTAGCCAATCAAAACTAATCTCTACCTCATCCGTAATCCCACAGACCTTTGTTTGTCATATTTTATGAGATTTATAGCTGGTGTTCCTAATTCTATGTCCCTGCCTTTGCACTCCGAAGGCATGGAAAATATTTTATCTGCATGTGCGTGTGTGTGCACTCGTGTGTTTACTTTCTTTAATGACCACCTGCCTTATTCAAATAACAGACATTCACACATTACTTTCAATTTCTCCTTACTCTATCCTGGAGTAAATTAGACTTAGTTAGTACTGCTATAGTTTACGCTATAATAATTTAGCATTTCTTTCCAATTAAAACACTTTTTTTTTCACTTGGCTTCCAGAGCACCGTTCTCTCCAGTTTTCCTCCCACAATGGGTCAAACTTTCTTAGTCTCCTCTGAGGTTTCCTTCTAATTGTTTGTAATAATAATGGCTTATCTCTTGACTATCTCCTATTTCCTAGTAGACTAACTCCCATCAAGGTCTAATCCAGGTTTATGACTGAAATACTATTTACACACCTGGAATTGACAGATTTATATTTTAGCCCAGCCAACTCTCTACTTGTTCTACACATTTAGAGTGCTAATAAGCTATTTATATTTAGAATATCCCAAAGGGAGCTCCCTGCCACCACCAATTTTCTCTTCCTGCTATTTCTCCTCAGGTCAGAACAACATCCTACCATTATCTTATGCAAAAAGACTTAACACATGACTTACACGTTGACCCTATTCTTTCCCTCCTTAATTTTGGTTCAAAGCACTTATTACCGTCTAGCATACAACATCTTTGACAAACAGACTTTTTAAAATTGTTGTTCTCCTCCCATTAAGCAAGAAAACCCCATGAGGGTGGGGATTTCCATTAGTTTTTTTCACTGCTGCACTCCTTGTTTCCCTGAATAACAAAATATATTCAAAACAGGTATGTAGTAGGGGCTTAAATAATATTTTGTTGATTAAGGAAGTGAAGTCATTCTAAGTAGATTGCTAAATAATTTATTAATGTTATTGGGTTCAAAATTCAGTCCCTTTACAGCTTCCTCAACTGTGAGATGCAGAGGAAAATCTTGTGTCTTTATTATTGTTTTCATCCATGTCTGTTCTGACAAAACAGAGCCATGTCTGCTTAATATAGTCATACACTGCACGTGGATGTTTCAGTCAACAACAGACCACTTATATGACGGTGGTCTCATAAGATTATAATGTCATATTTTCACTGTACCCTTTCTATGTTTAGGTATTTTTAGATACACAAATACTTAGCATTGTGTTATAACTTCCTATAATATTTCAGTACAGTAACATGGTGTACAGGTTTGTAGCCTGGGAGCAATGAGCCTTACCACATAGCCTAGGTGTATAGTAGGGCATACAATAAAGGTTTGCATATGTACACAATATGATGTTCTTACAAGAATGAAATTGCCTAATGACACATATTTTTAGAATGTATTCCCAAGAGAAATTAGTCTATTGGAGCAGAAAAGTGTATTGGGTGGTTGACGTTTTCAGATAACTAGAAAGTCACAGAATAAATGAGTTCATTCTCTTGATTTAAGAAAATCTAGGTTCTACTTCCTGTTTCACTGTGTTTAGTGATGTAACTTCATTCTGAGTCTCAGGTCCTCAGCTATAAACTAGAGTAATAACACATTCTCCATCTTTAAAGGGAGCTGAGTAAATAAAATGGGACTCTCAGTAAGAATGTGATGAGAGTACTAAAAACTACTAAAAAGATGCCAAATTTTATATATATATATATATATATATATATATATATATATATATATATATATATAACATAGTTTGAACCTTAACTCTGTCCTGAGAAAAAATGTGTATTGCAATGTAACTGAGCTGCAATGATTTCCAGATATTATAATTAATTTGTGGTGGACCCAATATTAAAGTTGGGTCTTTTGAATTGTAAAATAGGTTATTTTTCACCATAGTAAGTTTTATTAACATCTAAATTAGATAATTTATGTTCACCTGATTTAAAGGGCCTGAGAAATATGTCATATGCTAATAATGAATTTAATAATAGCAACAATAGTATCTAACACTTGTTTTTTTTTTTTTTTTTTTGAGATGGAGTCTCACTCTGCTGCCCAGGCTGGAGTGCAGTGGCGCGATCTCGGCTCACTGCAAGCTCCGCCTCCCAGGTTTACGCCATTCTCCTGCCTCAGCCTCCCGAGTACTGGGACTACAGGCGCCCGCCACCACAGCTGGCTAATTTTTTGTGTTTTTAGTAGAGACAGGGTTTCACCATGTTCGCCAGGATGGTCTCGATCTCCTGACCTCATGATCCACCCGCCTCTGCCTCCCAAAGTGCTGGGATTACAGGTGTGAGCCACCGTGCCCGGCCAGTATCTAACACTTTCAAGCACTTACCATACATCAGGCACTACATTAACTGGTAACATCATGTATTATTTTATTTAATTCTCAACGCTGTGTAGTTGCAATTATAATCATGTCTATTTAAAAATATAAAAACAGAAACAGAATGATTAAATAATTTGCATAAGGACATAAAGCCAGTAATGGTAAAATTGGGATGCCAACCTAGACAGCTTTCTAACACAAAAACAAGTTCTAATTTGAAATTAGAATTATATAATCTGGAGTCCATACAGCAGCGTTCCAAGAAGGCAATCACTCTTAACTGAGAGTTAAGTTTGGGGAACATCTGGAAGACTCATGATAAATTAAAAACAAAGTAACTGTCTAACATTGTCAGCAGATGTATGTTCATTCTGTGCTATTTGCAATAGCAAAGACATGGAATCAACCCAGGTTTCCATCAATGGCAGATTGGATAAAGAAAATGTGGTACATATAAATGTGAAGTATTATGCAACCATAAAAATAGAATAAAATCATGTCCTTTGCAGCAGCATGGATGCAGTTTGAGGCCATAATCCTAAGTGAATTAACACAGGAACAGAAAACCAAATACAGAATGTTCTCACTTACAAGTGTGAGCTAAACATTGAGCACATAGAGACAAAAATGTTGGAACAACAGATGCTGCCGACTACTAGAGTGGGGAGGGAGGGTGGGAGATATGGGTTGAAAAACTACCTATCAGGTACTATGCTAATTACCTGGGTGATGGGATCCATACCCCAAACCTCAGCATCACAAAAGATTCCCTTGTAATAAATCTGCACATGCACTTCCATGTCTAATATAATAAAAGTTGAAATTAAAAAAAAATACAGAGTAACTAATACTAGGGTACTCTTAAGACATCATCACTTTGTTGCATAACTCTTCAGTTGTAAAGTACTCAGTCTCTCCAATAATTCACTCTTCTTGAGTGTGTGTATATGTGTGTGTGTGTGTGTGTGTGTGTGTGTGTGTGTGTGTGTAGGGTGGTTGTTGTTGTCTTTTTTGAGACAGAGTCTCACCCCAGCTGGAGTGAAGTGGCGTGATCATGGCTCACTGCAGCCTCGAACTCCTGTGTTCAGGCAATTCTCCCACCTCAGCCTGCCGAGTAGCTGGGACAGAGGCACATGCCACCATGCCCAGCTTTTTGTTGTTGTTGTTGTTTGTTTGTTTGTTTGTAGAGACAGGGTCTCCCATGTTTCCCAGGCTTGTCTTGAACTCATGTGTTCAAGTGATCCTTCTGCCTTGGCCTCCCAAAGTGCTGGAATTACAAGTGTGAGCTCCTGCACCCAGCCTGCTCTTCTTTGTAATTTCTTCTGTGAACTGATTCATCGTAATGTTGGAGAGTAATAGCAGTAATTCTCTCTGTGATTATCAAGAGCCAATAAAATAGTTATGACAAATATCAATCTAATTGGAAGCACTACTGCTTGAAGTCATTTAAAAAGCATCACTTAAGAATGTTCTTTCAGTAGTTATCCTGCATTGGCAGAAAGGGGCAAAGATGAATGAACAGGCGCAGGTCTCCTCCAGTTCTGACAGTTCCTTTCCTCCTGATAAACAGCTATTCTGGCAGGAAAGAAAACGTAATCTCCCTCTGACCTTTCTCCATTTGGATGAGTGCACCGCAATGATTCTGTACTGTCACAGAGAAAAGATCCAAGCGAAGGGTGAGGAAAGCCTATGGATAATTCACTGTACTTGATAATGTACTGAGGAACAGCTATAAAATATGCCTATACTACACCAAGTAGAGACATTGTACAAACAACAACAACAATAATAACAATGACGATGGCAGTAAATGTATGTGTTGAACACATACTATGTGTCAATATTATGGTAAATACATTATGTGGCATATTTTGATTCTGTGTTGTATAAATGTATTTGAAAATGTCATTCATTAGTTTTAACCACCTACTGCCTCTTCTTAAATAGATAAACATGACATTTCCAAAAATATGACCTAGGTGATTCAGACTTGACCACACTAAGGCACAAGGTAGTGAAGTGATTGGTCCAGGTCATAGCTGAATAACTTTGATCTGACACTCTACCATTCTTCTCAGAACATAGCTCAAGTTCCCACAACTCCCTTGATGTCTGTGTCTTCATCCTTAAATGAAGGGAATTATTTAATTGCACAAATTTCAAGCTCTTCTCAAACTAGAAAATGCTACAATGTAATGGTTCTGTCTTGCAAATGCATCATTTTAGACACCATCTGGAATTGATAACATTCCAGAGATCTACTGAAGGTAAGTGGGTGAGTGGCCACACAGGGCTGGGACAAACAGAGAAAATATTATCCAGATATTAAAATAGTATTATATAATTATAAAATGTTATAGAAATGTTTATGATATAATAGTGAATGGAAAAAAAGGAAATTCTAAAATAACGATTATTCTGTGATGATACATATGTCCATGTACAAAAACTAGACGGAAGAACATGGACTAATTGTCTCACGATTTCTTGGCTATGGTGTAATACTAAATGATGCTTTTATATTGAACATTAGTGTTTTCACAATGCTGTTTAAAATATGAATTTTGAATGAGATTTAATTTTAAAAAGGTGGCACAATGACACTTCTGAAATTCAAAGGGTGCTCTGGTTTTAGTGCTCACATAAAATGGCTAAAATTATCTCTTCAATGTTTGTTATAAATAATTATTAGAAGACACTTTTAAATCATTATATCTTCTTTGTAAAACCATCAATCCTAGCACATATACAAGTTGGTAATTAATTCTTAAATACTCATTTTTTCCTCAGAAATCAACTTACTGTAAAGGATGAATAGCTTAAAAAGTGAAAAATACCTGAATTCATTCATTCATCTATTCATTCAAGACACAATAGTTAACTGCCCGCTCGGTTTTAGGCACTCTTTCGGCACCTGGGGATTCACCAGAAACTAGACACTTTGTATATAGCTTTGGACCTATAACAGTCCAGAGATTAAAGTGAACTCTATCAAAAAAGGGGCTCAAGAAGGGATTTGAAGCCAGTTTGTTTCCTTTGTCCTCACTGAGAATGCAGCAAAGTGAAGATGGTTGCTGAGCCTTGTTCCTGTGCCATCTTCCTGAGTAAATGTTTCCAGTATACAGTGTGTTGCAGAAAATAATTTGGAAACAGTCCAACTCAGCTTCCTTTGTTCAATTACCTGTCATCAGATCATTTGTTTTATCAGACAGAAATCATTGTGATGACAGGGGTTTGTTTACTTTGCCCCTGTATTCCCAGCATCAAGGACAGCACCTGCACTCCATCCGTGAAGGTCCAATCAGAGTTCAGTTCACATGAACAAGTGCTGGATTACCATGTAACAAACTTGAGTCCAGTTTGGTTCTATCTCTCAAGTACATTAGTCTACTTGGCTAATTATAGTCATTTACAAAGCACCTTCTATGTGTCAGACATATAATACCTGCTGTTACTTTAATCTCACACTGTCACAGTGTCATCCCTTTTTACTCTACCTCATTGTGCCTCAGTTTTCTCATCCATAAAACTGTGATAGTGATAGTACCTAACTAATGGGCTTGTTGTGAGAATTAAATTTTTAGATTAAACAAAGTGCTCATGAAAAAGCCTAGGCACGTAGTATGTACCAAACAAGTTTAGAATAGTATATTATTATTTAAAACTCATGGTAACATTTTGAAGAATATTGTACTATCTTCATTTTACCAAGCGGGAAACAATGTATGATGGCTAAGAAATGTGATCAAATGCCCACATTGCTGAGCCACTGAATTTAGAGATATTTCTTCACTCTGCTCTTCCTCTCAATTTTCTTGCCTATGTTCTTAGATAAGATCCTAACCACTTTCTCTTTGGATTTTGTCAGTAACTTACTTCAGATCTCCCCTTTCCTATTTTTAACCATCATCTTTTACATTATCTGCACATTCTACTTTTGATACGTTTTTCAAACAGATATCAAATTATATTATTCCTTCTTCCTTAAAACCTAAGTAGCTTTCTAATGCCTCCAGAACAGGCTACAAAGTTCTTAGAAGAGCATTCTGTGCTTTTCATATTAAACAGACTTCTCTGATACTCAAACTTTACTCAAAACTCTAGACAACTGAATTAAGATTAGGTAGTCAAAAATCAGGTAAATCTGGGTTCATATCCAGTTACTAATTATGCAATCACCTCATTATTTTACTTACTTAATTCTTAGCATCTTATCTGGGGAATGGGGATCATGGCCTGAAGAGCATGACAGAGAATTCGTTACAAAATCTTTTTTTTTTTTTTTTGGACACTAGTTCTGATGGCACAAGAATGATCACGTAATACATTCAGAAGATAATATATTTAAAAATTCCAACAGAAATCTTAAATACGAAAAATGAAGTGGGACAAAAAAACAGAACTGGCTGGAGTCAAGCAGTGAAATGGCATTTCAAAATTAGATTGTTAAACCAGTGTAATTTTGAAGAAAAAATTCAATTAGAAATGAGATACTTATTTTTTGTTGCAATAAAAATATAAGACCTGAAATGATCAAGAGAAAATAATGTTAGTCATGATAATTTTATTACTATGCAGATTAAAACAGGTTTGTAATGGCTTTACCAGTAATAAATAGAAACATTCTACATCCCACTCCTTACTTGAAATATTAAGAACTGATATCTGATTTTATAGCTGTCTAAGAATATGCTTTCCTACAAATAAATGCTCTCACATAGATTTTATGTTAAATATAGGTTAACTGACAGATTATTTTGAAGTGCTCAAAGTGATTAATCAAAGCTGTTTCATTTAGTGATGAGAGGTATTCACTGAGATTTCAAGATTTCATGTTTAGTTAAATTAAGATCATAAGCATGGAAACTCACTTGAACTCAAGAAAATATTTTGGGCATGGGGAAGCTAAATGGTAATACTTTGAAATGTAATCTTTGCATTAGTAACACTAAGCTAACTTCCAGCTATCTTCACATTGATTGATAGTGCTACCTGAGAAGTAAACACATAGTTTTGATTGTTTTAACCTAAACAATTCATGTTAGAGAAAATCATACTTTGAGCACTTATTTATACAAATATTTATTAAATACTCACTAAGGATCAAACAGTATGCTAAGTGCTAAAAATAAATGAAGTAAGGCAATATTTTTTCTGATTTTACAGGGTTTATAATTTAATTTAGAGAAGGGGATAAGAAAATAATGAAGGCAATTATTTTGTGATAGTATGTATACAGGATAGAGAAGGCATTATTATAGCTATGTTAGTTCAAGTCCATCAAGAAGCAGGCACTGAGACAGGGTTAGACACACAATAAATTTATTGGCAGATATTACTGTGGAGGATAAAGGGGCAGTGAGCAGGTGAATAAGGGAGAGATTTCAGACTACGGTGAATGTCTGACATGTGTGAAGGAGAATGGAAGGGGCAAAGGTTGGATAGAGAGAGTCCAGTCCTGCAGCACAGTTCCAAGAAAGGTTTAGCTAGCCAATGGGGCATCCTTGAGATGAAGTTGCACATTAGAGGAGTCCTATGTTTTATAAGAATGGGAGTGAGCTACTAGCAGTCATTGACTGGAAGCAGCTCATGGGAAACAAAATCTAGCAGCAAAAGACCCATTGGATCTTAAGAGCAGCTTCTAGGACTATCAGTCAATTATAATCCCAGCAAGAGGACAAATGGCATACTTTCATTGTAGTGGTCATGGGAGTGTTAGTTTTTACTCATGGACCAGAACTTTAGAAAGTGCTGCAGTTTTCAATTAGAAAGTGCTGCAATTTTCAAAGATGACTAAGAAGTCACACATTGAACAAGGTGAGCAAGTGCATTCCAGGCATGAACTAATGTAGAAATACAGGACAACATGGTGAGTGTGGGGGCGTTGCAAGTAGTGCACTAGAGTTGGAGCATGTACGTAAGTGTGTTGGTGTGCAGCACACCAGAGAGGGAGGTGGGATTCAGATTGGGAAGAGCAAGGTGAGTTATACAAAGTGGTTTGACCTTATCCTGTAGATAATGTGGGATTATTGAAGGAATTAATGCTTGACAGAGACAGTGTGAGATCTGCACTGCAGAAAGATTCCTGAAGTATACAAGCTATTCAGATGGAGCATTCCAAGAGGTAAAGAAAATGGAGATACTAGTAATAAAGAAAAGATAACACCAGACAGACCAGAGTTCCAATCCTAACTCTAACACCTACCAACCATATGAACAGAGCCAAGGCATTTAACTCCCCATAACCCCTATTACTAACTTTCTATGTCAGCAATTACTCAACTACTTATTTCATAGTGACACAGGATCATGTGAAATAAATAGTAGTATACTTAGCAGCTCAGGTGTTGAAAGCAGACATAAACCTACTTTTCTATCTTGGCCCACATGTATGACTACAGGAATATTTTTCACGAACCTCAGTTTTCTTAAATGCAGGTAATAATGAAATCACATTTATCTCATGGAGTTGTTCTCTGAGAGGTGATATGTGTGAAGACTTAACTTACTCGTGGTGCAGAAGAAATGACTAAATAACTAAAGGCTAGGTACTGTTAGGTGATTTACACACTTACAACGTTTTGTTCTCACAGCATCTCTGCAGGCAGGTTATTTCCCCTCACACCTTAGTATAGAGGAGCAAAGTGATGCTTAAGTAACTGGCTCATGATCACACGAATGATTGTACTGTGCTACAGTTCTCAGCTGCTTGACTTCAAAACCCGTATTCTTAACCACTATTCTCCATTACCTTCGATTCCAGCACAAAGAAAAACCATTTACCTGCCAAAGAAAATGCAATTCTAGGAACTCACTTGTTGGCTACAGTTGGATTTGCTTGTATTACTAGTATACTTTAAAGCAGAGTAAGGGATCATTTAAACCAAACTGCCTGGTTTGCCCCAAGAGAGGTTTTTATTCAGTTCATTTAGACAGAGTATTACAGCCACCACACAGATTCTAATACAACCTGTGTTATACTATTTGAAATTGTTTTCTGTGAAGGGGAAGGGGTAAAAAATGATGAAGGCAGTTGTCTCCAAGGCTATCTCTCCTGTCGGGAGAGTCTTTGAAGTGTTTGCACACATTAGTCTCTTCATTCTTATGTGGAATACATTCAACTTCCCAGTAGGAGTAACCATGACACAGATGTTTAAAACCCATAAAAACCGGACCTGATAGGTCAGATGTACAGTCATTAGGCAGAAGGCCCTGACCCATTTAGCTCTCCCTCTTCCCCAATTTCACTTCCAGAAAAAAGACTGACTTGATTTTAATCCATGTTCTGGCCCATTTCTCGTTAGTCAAAATGCTTAACTTCACCAAGCTTTAGTTTCCTTAATTGGAATAGGATTATTTTAAGGTTGTCCTAAATACGGACGGTAAATACACATCATTACATCTAACACCTATTAGCTACTCCAGAAATGTTAGCTCCCCTTGGATGGATAGCAGAAAATGATTTTCAAAAACAACAAATTGTCAGAAGACAATTTGATCAATAAATAAAAGTGATATTTATTGATAACCAATGAAGAGTTTAAGATTTCATCACTAATATTTGCATTAAAAAAACCCAAGCTAAAAACATTCACAGATGCCTTAGCAATAGATTTGCACCACATATCTTGAGGATACGATATTTTATCCTTATCTATCAATTGCAAGATTTGTGTTTTTCATGAATAATTTTTCTGACCTCTCCAGTGTAGGGGTTCACATCCAACACAGAAAATTATAAATCTGCAAGACTTGCAAAACACAGATACATTTTTGAAGCTCCACTGGAAAGGAGGCAAAAAGAAAATGCTTCTGTCATTGAAAGAGTAACAGACTGAAATAACGTGAAGTTTGCTAATTTTATTAACAAGTCTACTCTGGGCAATTTGGCTAGTACCTCTGTCTCCCAAAAGCTCTCTACTGATTCAGTGACATGGGTTCTTGAACTGGATGCCCTTTCTGTACCTCTGGAAAGCTTAGCCATGCAGAGGGAGGATTAGAAACAGTAAGCTCCCAGTCCTCGAGATGATTCTGCAAACACCTGGTAGGTTTGGTCATTTTTACCCTGAAATAATGCTCCAGGAAAGGCAATTTTGCATGGTCTTAGAGTATAATAAGTCAGAACAGTTTTCCAATTTCTGGCCATCTTGGCCCATATATTAGCATTTAACAATATTTGACATTTGGCTAATGCTTTGCCAATAACAAGAGAAAACAAATTATAAAAATATAGACTTCTATATCTTTCCTATTCATTCCAGCTTAGGTATTCTCATGCCACTATGCAAGTTGAGTCCTGCGTTTCTCCTCATTTTTCCTACTGTAATAGTCATGCTCTCCTAAGTGGTGTTCAACTTTGCAGTTTTTCTTTTTTTTTTTTTTTTTTTTTTGAGACGGAGTCTTGCTTTGTCGCCCGGGCTGGAGCGCAGTGGCGCGATCTCGGCACACTGCAAGCTCTGCCTCCCGGGTTCACATGCCATTCTCCTGCCTCAGCCTCCCGAGTAGCTGGGACTACAGGCGCCCACCACCACGCCCGGCTAATTTTTTTGTATTTTTAGTAGAGACGGGGTTAACCTGGATGGTCTCGATCTCCTGACCTCGTGATCCACCCGTCTCGGCCTCCCAAAGTGCTGGGATTACAGGCTTGAGCCACCGTGCCCGGGCCAACTTTGCAGTTTTTCTTCTCTCCTGGCCAAACCCTAACAAATCAGCCAGTGAAGCATGTTTTTAAAAAAAGTTATCAATTTATATTAACTATCAATTTATACTAACTTACCATAGGAATTAAAGCATGATAACATTTAAATACACTGTCTATACTCCTAAATATAATGAGCGTTTGAACACAATCGTACCCCTTAATATGTAGTATCCATTGGAGTCCTTACAACTCCAATTTCAAAACTCATGAAATTGGTATCAGTCACATGAAGGTGAATGCAAATTCGCTGACAAGTCTTGTCAAGATAAATCTTTGCTGTTAATTAGAATCAGCAGTGTAACCCAGAATTTCAACATCATTGAAAAGTGGGGAGCAATGGATGTGATTAAGCAATCCACCAACCATGGGGAAAGGAGTTTGTTGCTCCTGTATATTCCTGGCAGGAAGCTGTCCTTACTGGACAGTTATCAAACAGTACAAACCACACCATCAGAGCCTCCAAGTAAATCTCAGGAAACTTTGTGTGGTTCCCAAAGATTCAATAATCCATACATATGAATATGAGTTTCAAAAATTCAACCCACAATACTTTTTTTAGTCTCAGGTTTAAAAATGTAATTTCAAGTTTTATTTTAGATTTGGTGGGTCCACGTGCAGGTTTGTTATATTTGTATATTGCATAATGCTGAGGTTTGGGATACAAATGATCCTGTTGCTCAGATAGTTAGCATAGTACTCAAGAGTAATTTTTCCACCCTTGTTTCTCTCCTGCCCTCCTCCCTCTAGTAGTCCTCAGTGTCTATTGTCAGTGTCTTTATGTCCATGAGTACTCAACGTTTAGCTCCCACTTAGAAGTGAGGAAGTGCAGTATTTGGCTTTCTGTTCCTGTGTTAATTTGCTTGGAATAATGGCCTCCAGCTGCATTCACGTGGCTGCAAAGGACATAATTTCATTCTTTTGTATGGCTGCATAGTATTTCTTGGTATATATGTACCACATTTTCTTTATTCAATCCACCACTGATGGGCACCTAGGTTGATTCTATGACTGCTATGGTGAATAGTGCTGTTATAAACGTATCAGTGTATGTATCTTTTTAGTAGAACAACTCATTTTCTTTTGGATATATACCCAGTAATGGGATTGCTGGGTCAAATGGTAGTTCTGTTTTAAGTTCTTTGAGAAGTCTCTAAACCGCTTTCCACAGTGACTGAACTAATTTACATTACCACTATCAGTGTGTAAACATTCCCTTTTCTCCACAGCCTTGCCAGCCTTGCCAACCAAAATAAATGTGTTTTGACTTTTTACTAATAGCCATTCTGACTGCTGCAAGATTGTCCCTTATTGTGGTTTTGATTTACATCTCTCTGACGGTTAATGATGCCATCAAGGGATAAAAGTAACAAAGAAATTATGGACTTACATTTGACACTTGACCAATTAAAACTAATAGACATCTAACAGAGCACTGCATCCATCAACCACATAATATACATTCTTCTCATCTGCACATGGAACATACTCCAAGATTGACCACACGCTCAACCATAAAGCCAGTCCCAATAAATTCAAAAAAATTTAAATCATACCAACAATATTATCAGCCCACAGTGGAATAAAAATAGAAATCAATACCAAATAGATCCCTAAAACTACACAATTATGTAGAAATTAAACATAATTGCCCCTGAATGACTTTTGGGTATAAGCGAAGTTAAGGCAGAAGTCGTACATTTTTTTTCTTTATCAGAGAAAGTTCCTTATCAATTAATTTCATTGAATAACCTTTGGAAATACAGGCTAATAGTGTAATATTTAGAATATTAGAGAACTGCTGAATTATACATCTTAATCATGTATGACTTTTTTATGTTGAACAGTTTTGGCTTCTAATTAATCTTGTTTAGAAAAATATTTGATTCCCAATTGTAAAACGATGCACAAATTTGCAAAAATATCTTCACGATAAAAATTGAGAAGTGGGAAATACTTGGTAACACATTTTAGGTTTTGCTGTTGTTGTGCTGGGATGCAGTAAAGTTATGTAAAAATAATTTGATCCTTTCAGGTCTTGCTTTTAAGCTTTGTTGGTAACAGAGATGTGCCTATTTCAGGACTAATTTTGTCTCTACTGAGGCAAGTCTTTTTTGTATATGCTACCTATTACCTAGTGAATCATGAGATTTTCTACTCCAGCTGGTGGGAATAGGAATTCTTCCTAACCAAAGAGTGAGTGTAGGGCACTATCCCCTCTCTTCTTATGGTGTTTTTCTCCTCAAGCCATACTAGTTTCCTCAGGCATTCTCACAGGTCACCAGAACAGCTGAGAAGGAACGTGTACAGATCTCTGGAGTGCTCTTCTCTCATTCTCTCTCACTCTCCCTCAATCCCCACCTCCCCTCACTCTTTTCTCTCCGCAGCTCTCCCCTCTCTGATATCCTTCTCCTGCAAACTCTAGCCCAGTGGCCTCCCTGTACTCCCAGCTCTTTGACTGTGTCCCCTGTCCTCAGACTAGGGCCTGGAAACTCTCTCAATAAGCTGGGACAGTGGTAGGGTCTTCATTTGTTTCCCTCCATAATTGTCTCTCAGTGTTTCTCAATTTAATATTCAATGGCTTGACTACCATTGTGTTGAGTATTTTTGTCCTCATTTTTTTTCAGCTATTTCAAGCGAGAAGTTAGAACTGATATCTCTTCCTTCATTTGGTGAAAAGTAGAATTCAGTCATCGCCAGTGAAGCCTCTTGATAGGTACACTTCTCCCTGCTCTTCTTAAATGGCTCAAAGGAAGCCTGGATTTTCTCTTATGACTCCCCCATATAAGTCACATGTTCTATTTAATCTGAGTTGTTTACTCTCCCTCAATATACTCCATATTCAAAAATATTTCAAGCTTCATATTTTTGGACAAACTAGCTGTTTTACCTGGACTCATATTCATTGAAGAAATGCTACTATGAAATCCTAAGAACATAGAGTTCGTGGGTTTTACTAATTATTTCTGTAAGAGGAAAATTTTCTTTGTTTTTCTTTATTCATTCATCTCTTTTTCTTTTTTATTATTATACTTTAAGTTTTAGTGTACATGTGCACAATGTGCAGGTTAGTTACATATGTATACATGTGCCATGCTGGTGCGCTGCACCCACTAACTCGTCATCTAGCATTAGGTATATCTCCCAATGCTATCCCTCCCCCCTCCCCCCACCCCACAACAGTCCCCAGAGTGTGATGTTCCCCTTCCTGTGTCCATGTGTTCTCATTGTTCAATTCCCACCTATGAGTGAGAATATGCGGTGTTTGGTTTTTTGTTCTTGCGATAGTTTACTGAGAATGAGGATTTCCAATTTCATCCATGTCCCTACAAAGGACATGAACTCATCATTTTTTATGGCTGCATAGTATTCCATGGTGTATATGTGCCACATTTTCTTAATCCAGTCTATCATTGTTGGACATTTGGGTTGGTTCCAAGTCTTTGCTATTGTGAATAGTGCCACAATAAACATACGTGTGCATGTGTCTTTATAGTAGCATGATTTATAGTCCTTTGGGTATATACCCAGTAATGGGATGGCTGGGTCAAATGGTATTTCTAGTTCTAGATCCCTGAGGAATTGCCACACTGACTTCCACAATGGTTGAACTAGTTTACAGTCCCACCAACAGTGTAAGAGTGTTCCTATTTCTCCACATCCTCTCCAGCACCTGTTGTTTCCTGACTTTTTAATGATTGCCATTCTAACTGGTGTGAGATGATATCTCATTGTGGTTTTGATTTGCATTTCTCTGATGGCCAGTGATGGTGAGCATTTTTTCACGTGTTTTTTGGCTGCATAAATGTCTTCTTTTGAGAAGTGTCTGTTCATGTCCTTCGCCCACATTTTGATGGGGTTGTTTGTTTTTTTCTTGTAAATTTGTTGGAGTTCATTGTAGATTCTGGACATTAGCCCTTTGTCAGATAAGTAGGTTGCTAAAATTTTCTCCCATTTTGTGGGTTGCCTGTTCACTCTGATGGTAGTTTCTTTTGCTGTGCAGAAGCTCTTTAGTTTAATTAGATCCCATTTGTCAGAGCAACTCCAAGACACATAATTGTCAGATTCACCAAAGTTGAAATGAAGGAAAAAATGTTAAGGGCAGCCAGAGAGAAAGGTCAGGTTACCCACAAAGGGAAGCCCATCAGACTAACAGCGGATCTCTCGGCAGAAACTCTACAAGCCAGAAGAGAGTGGGGGCCAATATTCAACATTCTTAAAGAAAAGAATTTTCAACCCAGAATTTCATATCCAGCCAAACTAAGCTTCATAACTGAAGGAGAAATAAAATACTTTACAGACAAGCAAATGCTGAGAGATTTTGTCACCACCAGGCCTGCCCTAAAAGAGCTCCTGAAGGAAGCACTAAACATGGAAAGGAACAACCAGTACCAGCTGCTGCAAAATCATGCCAAAATGTAAAGACCATTGAGACTAGGAAGAAACTGCATCAACTAACGAGCAAAATAACCAGCTAACATCATAATGACAGGATCAAATTCACACATAACAATATTAACTTTAAATGTAAAGGGACTAAATGCTCCAATTAAAAGACACAGACTGGCAAATTGGATAAAGAGTCAAGACCCATCAGTGTGCTGTATTCAGGAAACCCATCTCACATGCAGAGACACACATACGCAAGAGGAAAATTTTCACCTCTCAATTTTTTTTCATGGCTAAAATGATAAAGGTTGTATCAGATCTGTAACTTTCCAGTAATAGAGGTAGAGAAATAAAAACATCTCTGGGTGGAACTATAGTGAGGTGTCCAAGGTCCCACCCACCCCTCCTCAGAATCATAAGAGCACTGACATGAAAGGAGGTAACCCCTACATCCTTCCAAGCTCTAAACTTCTATAATCAGAAGATCATTCCATTATGTTTTTTTCTTTTTTCTACAACCCATTCTACTGAGCACCTACCATGTTCTAGGAAACTGGCAACATGAAGGAAAAATGATAGACATTCCTCCAAGTTAAACAATGCTCTCTGCTATTAGAAAACCCTTACTTTTCCACTCAGATGCTATTTGTCTATTTTTATTTCCCTCATATTCACAATGAAATGTAATTTTCCCCAAATTTTCAAATATATGTGCACCTGTGTTATAGAACTGATGACATATTTTTCTTTGTATTATAATTATTATTTTCACTTGCCTGCTCCATCTGTAAGATTATAATATTACTGAATTCAAAAATGTCTCTTTGACCTTTGTGTATACATGGAAACTTATGATAACAAATATGCTATAAATTATTTATTTCTAATTACCATAGTGATATCATAGTGGAGAAAAATAGAACAATACAAAAATGTATAAATAACAAATAATACTTAATTGTGTCTTAATTGTTCCCCATACCCAAGTAAGTTTATTTCCCAGAGGTAACTAATGTTAATATTTTGAGATACATGCTTCCAGAGTTTTTCTCTAGACACATTTACACATATGGAATCATTTTGCTTTGTGTTTTTTAATAAAAAATTTGATCCTGGTATATGTAATTTTCCAACTTGCTTATTTTTTTTTTTTACTAAATATGAATCTTGAGCATCTTTTCATGTCTGTACATACAGTTCTACTCCATTCTTTTTAAAGGCTTTGTGATATTTTTGATGAATACATACATGAATCAGTACACGATGCACCCAGATAAGCTCCTACTATCCAATATCCTTCCCATAAGGTGAAATATGAGCTGCAACATAAACTAATGGAAATAATGCAGCACCATTCTGCATATAAATAAGGCCATTGAAATATATAATAAAATCTGGAGGGCAAAGACAGGAAGGTAAACTGCACTGATTTTCTAGAAACTTTGATGGGGAAATGTTTTATGTTATTTCTGCTAAATTCTCAAATTAAAAGCTATAAAAGAAGAAAGCCTTGTTTTCCAAAACTCTTTCCAAATAAAAAAATGGATACTACTTAGAGATATATCATCTAAAATGAGACAATTGAGTTCAACACCAAAACACACATTGTGTAATGTGAACTGCCTGCTATTGTGCTTCTTAGTTTAATCTGGCAAGTTGGGGGAAATAGGAGTGAAAATTAAAAAAAAAAATTCCTGATGCAAAAAGATAGTGAGGACTTAAACATCAAGGCAGGCTTGTGGAAAGTAGGTCAACAGTGTGACTTTACACACATTGTATTGCATACAGAAACTGTACAGATATCAATTTTGTTGCCCTGAGTTACAGAAAAATTAATATGTTGGCACTTAAATATTCTAATTTACATTTTAAATCTCTGGAGCATTTGGACAATATAATAAGCATATGCACCAAGTCTTATCATAAGGGAATCCTCTATTAAAAAATAATCATTAAATGGTGATGATTCTAAAAGAAGATGCTGAATTAAGAATTTTGAAAGGTATAATTAAGAAGATCAGATGTAATATACCTCGGTAAGACAAGAAGACTAGGAGTAATAAAATACAGTCAGTCACTTTTTATTGAGTAGCACATAGTTTCTGGAAGTTTATTCTCTGTAATCAGTCTGTCTCAGATTGAATTCTGGCTGTTACATCCTGATTGTATAAGCCTGGGGTAGACAATTTCTTCATGCCTCAGTTGCCCAATCTGTTCAAATGGGTACAATAATTATCTCAAAATTTGCTCTAAGGGTTAAATAAGTTTATTATATCTGTGAAATATTAGATTTTTTTTTTACCACAAATTGCTCAGAAAAGTTAGCTATTATTAATTTTATTCATGTGTGTGATGCACATACTGTCCAAGGCATCTTACAAGGTGAACATTATTATTTTTATTTTAAGGATGGTGAAATTAGCAATGTGAGTGACTAAGTAATTTGCATATACATGACAGTTAGTGAGCCAAAGAAGAGGGATATGGATCCCAAGTCTTTTGTCTCCAAGGTCCAATCTCTTTAGGCCACACAACTTTCCCCCAAAATAAAATATTTTCAGGGTTTATTTTGGGAATCTAGGAAGCAGGTTGGCTGGCTTCGAAAGCTACCTTTAAAACTTTCTCTTCTTTCCCCCTACTAATTTTATACTGAACATTTTCTATGAAATGACACTAATTTAGAAGTTCTAACCCTTTTTCACTTTTGGTCGAGCATGCTCTTTTTCTAAGCTTTCAACCTTTTAATCTTGTCTTTACTTTTTCTAGAATTAAGATGTTGCTATATTTGAAGCAATGCAAATGTAATATATTTCAGCAATGCAAATGTAAATAATTTACTGAGACTGACTTGATACAAAGCCCACTGGATATGTATATATGATTTGGTTGAAGCAAACAGATGGGTAGAGGTCCAACAAGACGCTCCAGGAGAGACATCCTTGCCCATGATTCCAATCCAAGTGTTCTTGAATGCTGTTGCAGCTCTTCACACAGATCTTGATCACAATCAGGCATCTGAAACTTCTTGTACTTGTGAATCACTGGTTTATTTAAGGCTTCACTGAATAACTCTCCTGTCCCTCACACACACCTCTGTCTATTTCCAAACACACACACACACACACACACACACACACACACACACACACACACACTCTCTCTCTCTCTCTCTCTCTCTCTCTTTCTCTCTTTTCTTTTGTCCAGGTCTTTGAAACCTATTTGGCCCCTGTATGGTTGTAAAATCAGTTCCTTAAATGCAGGATAATCAGAGAGCTCTGCATGTAGCAGCACCAATGAGCATACAAATATACTAATAAAGAGGTCCTCAGAAAACAAGTTTGCTCTAAAATGTTTCTTCCTTAACGTCTAATGATTTTTGTTTCACATTTGAGACAGTATACTACTTTCATAACACTGTTCATGGAAAATCTATCCCGAGAGGGACCCTATTTAGAAAATATAAACTCTATGGAAATAAAGTAAGGGAGTTATACAAAAAAATAATTATTCGATCTGCAGATTCCAGAGGCCAATAACTTTTCAATGAGAATTTTACAATTTATTATCAAGGTTTTTCATTTCCTGACTTTTAGAAGGTGGGCAGTGACATAGGTATGGATTTCCCATCTGTCAGGTCCAAAGTGAAACCTCATCTTGTCAAGAAAAGTCTCCCTGACCCTTCCAATTCATAACAGTCTCCACCTTCTCTGAACCTCTGAATACATTGCATTATCATTCTTCTTGTCACCATAATAAGAATGCACAGCTGTATGTAATTTCATAAGCATATTACCCTGATTAAATTTTATACTAGTGAAAGGCATCACTATATTTCACAGATCTATCTTCAGGCTTTAAACCCCAAGCACACATTACTAGATACTATGAATACTTAAATGATGTTCATTACATCAAAAATACCCATTGACCTATAAGGACTTATTTTTCTGACCATGTGGCATAAAGAACAGGAATGAAGGGTAGCGAAGGTTCAGGTGAAGAAAACAGCCTTTAAGCCTTCTTGGCACTTTCAATGCCATTATTTCCTGTTCTAAAGCTGCAGTCAAGTTTCAGCCTACCATAGCATATAGTTTTAATAATTTAAAAACACTTTCTTATATTTTTATCTTATTTTGTCATTACAAAAGGGGAACACTGCATAATAGTGTACATGATATAATTCTTAACTCCAGTGTGATTGAGAGTCTTAGAAATTCATCCAAAGAAAACTTGGAAATCCACACATACATAACTAGATGCTATTTATAAGGAGGACCAATAACACAGGTGAGAAAGCAGCAAACTTTCATGTTCCCTATTCATACAGTATCAGGGCAAAAGACAGACAGCCTCATCAAGGCATCTACTGCATAGAACTTTTCTTTATTCTTGCTTTTGTTCCAGCAATTGTTTAAGAAATTTTCTACTATGCATCCGCTGGCACCAACATCCCCAACATGTAACATTAGGTAAACTCTCCATCTTTATAACACAAGAAACAAGTGAGGGGTTGATTTATAAATCTTGGAATAAATAAATCTACCAGACAAAATACAACAAAGAAACCTCTCCTGATAACTAGTTTTCACAAATTTGGGAAATTAGTGTAAATAAAAGACTTGGAAATTCATAATGATTTTTGTTTCTATAATATTTTGGAAATCCCTATGAATCAGCCTTGAGGCATTTGCATGGCTCCAATCATAAAGACCAACCTGTGCTGTCATTTATTCCCCTCAGTATCCAGTGAACAACACTCTCTTATTTGAGTAGGGCTAGGACCTTGGATTCTTGGTATTATAAGAATGTTAATAGCATAGCATCCCTTTTTAAAAGTTTAATTTCTAATTCAAGTGAGACCATATAAAGTATGGTTAATCTGGCCTCATCTTCATAAAATAGCCCAAATTATTCCATTATGTAAAATACAGGTCATGTTATTGTGTGATTAATGCAATAATAGAGTGATCCCAGACCACTGGCAGGTTAGTAGTTCTGGGTTTCGCCTTTTGAATTAAATATTGGCTGTGGCTTGGCACCACCATTTGCAATTTCTTCTCTAGCTTAAATATCACTGGAGGTAATTTTGGGTCCTGACTGGCTAGGGCATTCTTGGACAACAGCAGGAATTACAGAAGCCCCTGTTGGTTTGTACACATTTCCTCATCTTGATCCCCAGAGACTGGACTCAGACAACCCTGGGAACACAAGGACCCACCTCGTGCTTTTGTATCTTCCCAATTCTCAAAACTGTATTGCTTTCCTTGCACAGCCCCCACCTACACTAGAAGATGAAACATCATCTCACTCCTTTTTCAGAACAAGGGCTTGGTAGAAAATGGAACCAATTGCCAGTGAAGTTATATCAGAAGTTATGTTGCCATGACATATCAATATATGCTACGTCTATATTAAACACTAATTGAAGTTGTGTTTTTGAAGACTATTCAAGGGTCTAAAAACAGCCCAAGAGATTCAATTTTTCAAAGCAGGGGACAAACGTGTACCTAGAAAATGGTACATGTGAATGTAGGTGGAGAGCTATAAGGACAGACTGGGACAAAATGCCTTAAACATTTAATGTCTCTGTATTCTATAGGAGGAAGTATAAAAGGTGATCAAAATTTTCTTCTTTAGAATTGTCTTTCTCCAAAATGTCCTGTGACTTATTTGTTTTCTTCATCACTGGGGGGGAAAAACACAAAAATTGAAATAAAAAACCCTATTTTTTAGAAGATATAAAGTGGCAAATAAATAAATATACCTTTTCTTAATTATAATCTCTTCTACCATAATTACAATCTAAAACTAGTGTAGAGATTCAAGGATCTGGATTAATGGGTTCAAGATCCTATTTTGAGATAGGTGGAGTCTGTTTTTACCTATATAATGTCCTTTCTGTTTCCAAATGTTACTTAAAACAGATTGTCAATCATACCTCATTAGGAGTTTATAAAAAAGAAAAGGAAACTGACAACTGTAAGTCAGTAAAGATTCTCTTGCTTTGGAAAATGCAGACATGTACTCATAGAGGAAAGCACTTAGAAACTCAGAAAGCTCTTCATTTTATTGTGGCTTCCCTTACAAAATGTTGATGAACACTTCTGCTTCACCATAGAAAAACTCATACATTCCACACACATGGGAGACAAATTGCTTTGTTCAGTGAATCAAGTTCCATAGGGACACTATGTTGTTCTCATTCACATTCTCCGAAGGGTGCAGTCTTCTTCAAATTAGAATTCAAGGTCATATTGACAGAGCCCTTAAGCCAACCAGTCTTTTTGGTTTTCTATATACTCCTGTTAGCTTTACTTACAAAGGGCCATATTGTAGATGAGAAAGCGAGGTTGAGGGCTCTTGAACAGTGAGCAATGGAACAACGTATATCTGAGGGTAGCACAAGTGACGGCGATACCAAAAACAAATAACCTTGTGCTGATCGGCTGTGAAAATTCAGCAAACTCAATAGCCCTCTAAATTCCTCATTTCATTCCTGGATTGTAAAATACATTCTTATACTTATTTGCTGGCTAACATTCTGTCCAGAGTCTTTTAAAAAGGAATTCTTATAAATTACGAGCAAACATTCTGCCTAAGTCTCAGTGATTTAGGTAGTGAGCATTGCAATTTGCTGGTAGACACTGTCTGTAATAAAGAATATTAATTTCTGGCAGTCCTTTTTCATATTCAGAAATACTGGGCACTGTTTAGTACAAGATCTGCTATGTATTTACCAAGAACTCTTGGAAGAGGTGATCAGTAAGTGGATCTAAATTTCTCATCTGTATAATGGGGATAATATTACCTTTCTAGGCTTATCCCATGGAGTTTTGGTGAGAAATAAGAAGAAATTGGAATAAATTGAAAAGATAGAAAACATAGATTAATACACTTCTTCCCCTATAGGCCCACATCTGTCTACCTAAAAATCAGCAAAAATCTTGATTTATCTCTTCTCTATGTCACAATTTCAATATTCTTATAACAAGTTATTTTGGGCTAGGACCCTCTTTCTCTCATCAATATAAACACTCTTTAGCCCCCCTCCCATTCCAACCTTCACTTCAAAGACATATTTTTAAGAAATCTCTTCATAGGCATGGAACATTTTGTTATATGAATAAAGTAAAACAAAAAAAAGAAGAGTTTAATTGGAAGAAAGAACTGGATACTTGCCAGATAGCTCAGTTTGTTTTTTGGTTCCCAGTGCATAAAGGGAACTCAGAGGCAAAGTTTAATGAAAGCAATGTTTAGTAAAGATTTGAAAATTCTGAGCACATCCAGAATGACTTTGTCCCAGGAGAGAAAACATGTCACAAAATCGGGAATAAGACCCTTCTCTTTACATATAAATGGGACTCAACCATGTTCTGACACTTGACATTTTTGGCAAATCTCAAGACAGAAACTGTAGCATGTTTTATTTTTCTTAAGGCAAGTAGTGGAAGTACATTCTTTTTCTAAAAGGTTTTGCAAGAAGTAGATGTAGGAGCTAGAAAAGGACTATAAAATAAGGTGCAAGTCGCTTAGCAATTGTAGGTGACAGGCGGGCTAGTATCACAGGTAAAACATTTCTGTGGCCACTAAGTTCTTTAGGTACACTGAAGAGAGGAAGATGAGATCCAACTCTTACTAAGTTTATCCAATCAGGACACTTTAAGCCATGTGTTTTACAGATATATCTCTCTATTTCTCTCTTTCCATCACCCACTGTCTCCCTCTTTTTGATTCTCTTTTTCAAGGTTCATAATAGCTGTATTTTCTGAACTATGTTCAACATTACTTAAAGATCTGTTCTCTCATCCTGTAAATGAGGAGTCAGAGCTGTATTATGTACAAGAGTCCTTCCACACTAAACGAACTATGGTTTTCTGCATATAATGGGACAAAAGAGATGGTACTAGAAATTATACAGCATAAGTGCTGAAGTCTAGGCTTATATCCATTGCTCCTATCAAGGAGTCTCTTTAAACCTAGTTGAGAAGAGTGTGTGATGGCTGGATTCCTTCCCTTATGCAAATCTACTGGGGGATGAGGGGTTTCCAATGCAGATTTCTGCCAATTTCCATTCTGATAGGAAGTAGTATTAAGGAGTAATTAAAATCCAGCCCTTCCAGTTTCTAGCTTTGTGGCTGCTATGGTCTGAATGTTTGTGAACCTCCCCCCTTTCCAATTCAAATGTTGAAATCCTAATCCCCAAGGTGATACTATTAGGAGGTGGGGTCTTTGGAGGTGATTACGTCCTAAGGGTGGAGGCTTCATGATTGGGATTTGTGCCTTTATAAAAGGGATCCCAGCTAGCTCATCCCTTCTACCAAATGAAGACACAGTGAGAAGACAGCCAGCTATGAACCAAGAAGCAGGCCCTCACCACACACTGAATCTGCCAGGCACCTCAATAATAGAATCCTAGATTCTAGAACTGGGAGAAATAACTATCTGTTGCTTATGAGCCACTCAGCTTGTGGTATTTTGTTACAGCAGCTCAAACAAACTAAGACAGTAGTCTGGCAATTTAATTAACTTCTTTATGCTCTCACTTTTTTCAACTGTAAAATAGGGATGATGACAATATGACCTAAGTTATAAGCTTGTAGCAAGCACAAAATGAATGTAAATTATATGTGTTTAGAAGAGTTTCTGTTACATAATTTTTACTACAGAAATTTGATAATAATCATAAAGACATACATTGACAAATACTGATTTTCACTTTAAGATAATTGCCTTATATTTTTAATAGTCCCTATAAGTTTGAGTATTCCATGAACATGGGACTAAATAGAACATGATAATCAACATTTGACTAATGTTGGGTAAGCGCATAAACTCCTTGGATGAAGCTCCTCATTTCTTTGATTAAGGAAAATTGTAAAATGTAATTTTCTATGATTCAACAAATAAATAGAATGTGTGTGTGACATCAGCAGTTATAGAGCTAAATATGTCTATAAACTGTTCTCTAAAAGCATTTAGTCTAATTCTTTTAATTCTTGAAATCTCAAATCTTGAATTCTTGCTTTATAGAATAGTTTGCAGAATTCAGATCTCATTTAAACATACAGGATTACAACAGGAAGAGGAGCTATCAGGATTCATAAAGAAAACCAGGGCCTGTATCCACCTAACATGTCACTGCTGGGCAAGTTCCAACAAATGTCTCAAGAAGATTAGATCTAGTCATCCTTAGGCAGGAATTATTTCTTTATTCTGGTGGTGTTCTGCCTGCTAACTGGAGCCAGACTGAACCTGATTGGTGTGGAATGGAGTTCAGAGCAGCCCAGGAGCAGTGGTTCTTGGTTCTGCTTTATATTAGAATCACTAAGAAGCTTTGAAAATGTATTGAGAGGCTGATGTAGTTGGTTTTAGATGTGCTCAATCATCAATACTTTGAGAAGCCTCTCGAGATGACTCTAATGCATAGCCTAGAATTGAAACCCACCAGATTAGGTGAGCTCATTGCAGTTAAGTATACCATCAATAAAGAAACAGAACTCAACACAGTGGTTTATAAAATTGTGTCTCATAGAATTACCTAATTTAGAGATATAGCTATGATAAGCAAGACATCCTAGTTTGTCCAGAATATTCCAGGTTTATTACGGAAAGTTCCATGTCCCTGGAACAATCCCTTTCCCCAAGTTCCTGGCAAACCAAGACACTTGGCCAACCTAACAAAAAAAAATCCATTTTTATTATAATATGCAGCATAAAAATGTATTGCGTATCAATGGACATAATTATATTTAATGCCAAAATGTTAACATGATGGAAACCATCAATATATTAATTTTGCATTAAGTTTGTGGTTAAGTACACATGTAAGACTTTATACTAAATGACTCCTGCTATTTCTATGTTTATATTTAAACATTTTATTAAAGGTGTTTCCAATTTCCCAGATTATTGCCCTTCCATTTTCTCTATTTTTAAATTTATTCCTGAGCAAGTCTGTTCACATAAAATTATATGAGTGAGCACAGTGCTCTAGCAAAAGTGTGTCATGTTCAATCAAATGCTGAGAAGGTTTAAGCACATTTGCTCAGTGATTGCTCTTTTAATGGCATCGCAGTCAGTTATGCAAAAACAAGCTCAACACCCAACAAAAACCCACAGTGGTATTGTATTATCAACATTTGAGGCTACATTTTAGGATTTAGATGCTTTTGTAAATTTTTATTTTCAATAAGGAATGCAAGTAATTGTACAATGTTAGATGATAGTAATTCTACTTTAAATTATTAACAATGGCTGGAGCAGAACAGTCAATTGATAAAGATATATCAAATCAAAGAAAGAACTAAGGAAGGAAGGAAAAACAGACAAAAGATAAAAAGGACATGAAAGGGAAAAGGAAAAGAGGGAAGAAAGAAAAAAGGAAGGAAGGAGGGAAGGAAGGAAGGAAGGAAGGAAATTTCTATAATAAGCATGCAAGCTTCTGGATGGATTCTGTATCTATAAAAATGTATTTTTAAATTGCATTATAAAGTCTTTTGAAGGTTCATTATCAAATTTCTAATTTGTGTGAATTTGGATTTTTGATACATCACCAAGATAAAACAGAAATAATTAGATGTCAATGATATGTAAGAAATTATTTGAACTTAGTATTTATTCTATAACTATTTTGTTTTACTTTTGTAGTTTCTTTTAATTGTTTTCCAGCTAAAGTGACATTGAACCAGACAAGGTCTAAATTGAGTTTCTATGATTACTGTTTAACTCTATTCAAACAATTCTGTGGGAAAGCCCATGGGTTATTATTTTATGGGACTGAGAACATAGTGTGACCTCTGCATACACAAGATGATTGACTGTATCTCAGTTCTTACTGGAAATTAAGTTTTATACTTCTGGCAAATATGCCTGCTAGACTATGTTCTAGCACAGAAGAAAACTAAACATGTTGGTCATCCAAGCCAGATAATTTGTATATATTTACTGGGCTCAAGGTATATCTTAGTTGTCTACAAAATGTTGAGAAATAGATTCTGAAACTTGGCTGTTTATTCCAAAGAAGCATAGAAATTAAAAGAGAAAGAGAAGGGGAGTTTGCCAAAGGCTGTCAGTGGGTGCTGCTATGATTAAAAACTGCTTCAGCAAGTCAAGCCAAAGGCATATAATGACACTTTCCACCAGGGAAGTTCCACGAACAGCTCAGGTCATATCCATGGTCTTTGCTTATTGCTTTTTATTTTCCTGCCTAAATCCAGCTGAAGCTGTCAGGTCTCTGACACATTTGAGATCTTGTGTCTTGGTCACACTATAACTCTAGCACACAGTGATGCTTGATGAAAGTGTGTTGATTAAACCTGCCTTTTCACAAGGCCATCCTCTGTACCAAGATGGAAGGGTGGAAAGGTTAAGATGAACAGGAAATTTGGAAAAGGTTCAGCTGTATAAGTTATTACAAATCTTCTGATAATAGATCAGGTATTAAATCCATGAGGCACTGAAAATTGAATTTCTGAGACAAGAGCTATTGTGACTAGAATAGCAAATGTCAGATCATGAGTCTATTCACATGGCAAGGATCAAAAGATGATTAGCACAGGTGACAGAGTTGTTCTATTTTGCCTGAAACATTGAGGCTCCATTTTGTTACCAGGAAGCAAGAAGGGCTACAAACACTTGCCTCCTTGGTGTCTGTGCTCTGTGTTCCAATCTCTCTTAGGCTTCAGAGTCCCTGAAATAAAAGTATTGCAAACTTCCCAATATCAGTTCTATGTTTTCCTACCTGTGTCTTTCATGACTTTTAAAATATGCATAACTGGTTTTATAGCAGCAGATGTTAATAGTTTCAAAATAGCTATAGATTATATGGGGAATAAAAAGGAAGTTAATAATGATTTTCAGGGTTTCATTTGCATAAGTGTGTCTATACAAGGTCTACGACAAGAGGAAAGACTTTCAGCACGAAAGTTCATCACATATAATGGTCAGGATTGAAGAGTTGTGTAAAGAATGAGTGGGGGAAATTTCTGTTCTCTCAGGGTTTCTCCTTAGAACAACAAAATCAAAAAATCTATAAGAACTTCCTCTAAACGCTTGTCTATTTTATTCATTTAATTTATCCATCCATTCATTTTAAAAAAACCTTTGAGAAACCTCCACACCAGATGCTGTGTGTTTAGGGTAGGGGGTGTTAAATTATAGCCCATGGGCCAAATTTTGACAGTTTCCTCTTTTTGGAAATATATTTTTATAGGAGCACAGCCATACCCATTATTTATGAATGACCCAGAAACTGACTGATCTCCAAGGTCTAAAATATTTACACTCTGGCCTGTAAGAAGCGGAATAATGGCCCCTCAAAGATAATCCATGTCCTGATGCCCCAGACCTGTCAATATGTTAGTTTATATGGTAAAAAAGACCTTTCAGATGTGATTAAGATAACAAGGGCACCCGCATCAGAGAGAGATACAAGGATGAAAGCAGAAATCAGAGAGAAAAAAAGGGGCTATGCTGTGAGCTTTGAAGATCGAGGAAGGGACCATGAATCAAGCAATGGAGGGAGGTTCTAGAGGTGAGAAAATAGATTCTCCCCTTCATCATTTAGAAGGAAAGCAGGCCTGCTCACATCTTGGTTTCAGACTTCCGAGCTCCAAAACTGTAAGGCAGTAAATTGGTATTGCTTGAAGCCACTACATTTGTGAGTTACAACAGAAATAGGAAACTGATACACAGCACTGCTGAAAAAGTTTGTGATCCCTGGTCTAGGATTTAGTGTAACCAGAATAATAACGTATTGTAATAAATAACTATCTTCAGCTAGGGCAGGGAACTTAAATACGGATAAAATCAATAAGGCTGCTTTTCAGTGTGGTTTTGAGCAAATGATTTTCACAAGCGAATCTTTGTTAAAGCACTTAAGACATGCTAGCCAAACTAGAAAAGTAAAAGAAATTTATCCTGCTGAAAACATATATACAAATATGTAGAATATTATTCACATCTTCAGCAGATAGAAAGATCTACTTATGCTCTCATCTATCCCAAAAAAGAACAACTCACTCAGCTGAATTTTTAAAAGTTGCCATAAACTTTAGGGCAGATTACCTTTTCTCAAATTAATTAAATTATCTTTTGTAAGATGGAAGCTGGGAATAGTCTCACAATTCTACAAGCATATTATTTGAGATAAACAGGACAGGAAGCAGGAAGAATGCCTTATTTGCCAAATTGAATAGCAAATTAAACATATTAAAACTGACTTATTAATTCAAACTCTGTGGACTTATTTGAAGATACAGAAGTGGTTATGCTTTTAGATGTTTGATAAGGAGTAAGTGCCTATAGACAGTTTTACAAAAGTAAAAACTTGATATTGGAGTTGTCTGGAGTGATCAGATTGCAGTCTTTGGACTTAAAGGAAGGTTAACTTTTCAAGTGCACACTATTATTTTTATTACAACCACTTTAATTGTTATAAAAATTATGAAATTTCCTGCTATGTTAACATAACACCACTCATAGAGTACCTAAATAATTTTTAATACAATGCAATGCTATTACAGCGAACATTAGTTATATCTTTCCATTTTACACTATTTGGCAAGTGCTGTGAAGTTCCAGACTGAGTATGTACTGAGCTTTGGCTACACATATGAACTTAATTCCTCAAATAAGTCTCATCAATGGTATATAAATCAACATGGGATAAATTGTTTTAAACATCAATGTGACTATTCTATTGATTCACAAATAAATTAAACAACTTCCCAAAGTCACACATTAAGTAGAGGAGATGAGCTTTGAATTTCAACAACAATGCTTCCCCTGACTGCCTTACAATATAGCTCAAAGAATCATAGAAGATGACATAAGATGCTTTGTAGCCTGTAAAGAATTATTTTTCTGTGGGTCTATTATTAATATACAAACAGTAATTCCTCCTTTAGCATTGAACTTTAGTTTAAAATAATATAGCTCTCCTACCAAAAAGCACCCAGGCAGGAATCAATCAAATCAAATACTATATCTCAGAATCATCTTTTGTTTATTCAGTAAATATTGGGATAGAGATGGGGCATCTTTCAAATAGAACCACACACTCAAATAACGATTTAAGTGTTTGACCTTATTTAGACATATGCAGGTTCTTTGCCTTTGAGTAATTTGCTGGCAATGTCTTCTTAGTTTTACTACTGCAAAATGCAGAAATGCCAATATTTGGGCAATCTTTAAAAATCTATGAATGAGAAACATTTGGTTTAAACCTGAGCTCCACATCTCGGTAGGTGGTCTTGGATCATTATTTGACCTCTCTATGCCTTGTTTTTTTTTCCCACCTGCCAATAAGAGCTCTTACAAATACCTGCTGCTATTTCTCAATGTGCCGCAGTTTCTTCATCTATCAAACCAGCATAACAATAGTATGAACCTCATAGAAAGGTTGTGAGGATCCATAGAGATTATACAGGTGAAACCCTTGCAACAGAGCCTGATGCATGGCCAAGACACCTTATGTGTTAGATATTATTTTTATCATTGATTTATATCAGACATCACGCTGAAAAGCTGCAAGTGGCAGAAAAAAACCCAAGTCAAACAAAACAAATAAAGCAAAAAGAAAGAAAATAAAAACAGACATTGAATTTGCTTTAAGGGTAGTTTTTTTTTAATTTTATTGTTATTATACGTTAAGTTTTAGGCTACATGTGCACAACGTGCAGGTTTGTTACATATGTAAACATATGCCATGTTGGTGTGCTGCACCCATTAACTCGTCATTTAGCATTAGGTATATCTCCTAATGCTATCCCTTCCCCCTCCCCCCACCCCACAATAGTCCTCAGTGTGTGATGTTCCCTTTCCTGGGTCCATGTGTTCTCATTGTTCAATTCCCACTTATGAGTGAGAATATGCGGTGTTTGGTTTTTTGTCCTTGTGATAGTTTGCTAAGAATGATGGTTTCCAGTTTCATCCATGTCCCTACAAAGGACATGAACTCATCCTTTTTTATGGCTGCATAGTATTCCATGGTGTATATGTGCCACATTTTCTTAATCCAGTCTATCATTGTTGGACATTTGGGTTGGTTCCAAGTCTTTGCTATTGTGAATAGTGCCACAATAAACATGCGTGTGCATGTGTCTTTATAGCAGCATGATTTATAATCCTTTGGGTATATACCCAGTAATAGGATGGCTGGGTCAAATGGTATTTCTAGTTCTAGATCCCTGAGGAATCACCACACTGACTTCCACAATGATTGAACTAGTTTACAGTCCCACCAACAGTGTAAAATTGTTCCTATTTCTCCACACCCTCTCCAGCACCTGTTGTTTCCTGACTTTTTAATGATTGCCATTCTAACTGGTGTGAGATGGTATCTCATTGTGGTTTTGATTTGCATTTCTCTGATGGCCAGTGATGATGAGCATTTTTCATGTGTTTTTTGGCTGCATAAATGTCTTCTTTTGAGAAGTGTCTGTTCATATCCTTCGCCCACTTTTTGATGGGTTTTTTGTTTTTTCTTGTAAATTTGTTTGAGTTCATTGTAGATTCTGGATATTAGCCCTTTGTCAGATTAGTAGGTTACAAAAATTTTCTCCCATTCTGTAGGTTGCCTGTTCACTCTGATGGTGGTTTCTTTTGCTGTGCAGAAGCTCTTTAGTTTAATGAGGTCCCATTTGTCAATTTTGGCTTTTGTTGCCATTGCTTTTGGTGTTTTAGACATGAAGTCCTTGTCCATGCCTATGTCCTGAATGGTATTGCTTAGGTTTTCTTCTAGGGTTTTTATGGTTTGAGGTCTGACATTTAAGTCTTTAATGCATCTTGAATTAATTTTTGTATAAGGTGTAAGGAAGGGATCCAGTTTCAGCTTTCCACATATGGCTAGCCAGTTTTCCCAGCACCATTTATTAAATAGGGAATCCTTTCCCCATTGCTTGTTTTTGTCAGATTTGTCAAAGATCAGATAGGTGTAGACATATGGCATTATTTATGAGGGTTCTGTTCTGTTCCATTGGTCTATATCTCTGTTTTGGTACCAGGACCATGCTGTTTTGGTTACTGTAGCCTTGGAGTATAGTTTGAAGTCAGGTAGCGTGATGCCTCCAACTTTGTTCTTTTGGCTTAGGATTGACTTGGTGATGCGGGCTCTTTTTTGGTTCCATATGAATTTTAAAGTAGTTTTTTCCAATTCTGTGAAGAAAGTCATTGGTAGCTTGATGGGGATGTCCTTGAATCTATAAATTACCTTGGGCAGTATGGCCATTTTCATGATATTGATTCTTCCTACCCATGAGCATGGAATGTTCTTCCATTTGTTTGTATCCTCTTTTATTTAATTGAGCAGTGGTTTGTAGTTCTCCTTGAAGAGGTCCTTCACATCCCTTTAAGGGCAGATTATGAATGTAGAATCTAATAGAAGTATTTGCGAGTAGAGATGATCAAGAGTAGACGTAATTTCATTAGCATGTTACAGGCTCATCCTCAACAAAATCAATACAGTGCAACATGTCATGAAAGAATAGGTACACTTTACCTATTTTTACATTTGCATCTTTACATTTTTAAAAAATAAGTAGAAAGTCATTTAAGATGCAGACTGGCATTGAAGAAAGTGAGTTTAGTGGAAGAGAAGCCCAAGTTGGCCCACTGAGGTTCTGTTCTTGCTGGGGAATGAAGAGGAAAAAGATGGAGTTTTTACATATGGGGCTAAGTGAGCTGACCAAGGCACCTATCTTTTATATGACAGGAGAAGGCTTCAGATATCTGTGCCTCAAGCAGCACTAAGCTCCTCACAAATTGCACTTAATATCACAATGTTTGCTTTTAGGATTGTCACAGTTCCTTTCTACTTTTTCCCTTCTCTAAAGCCCCTATCTTAGCATAGGTATGTACACCACCTTCATCTGTGCACACTTGATGGAAGATACTGGACCATCTGCCTGGGGTAGCCTCATGCCTCTGTCCTCATTAACAAGTTCTTCTTTTCCTTTCCTTGATTTTTCTCTTCATTGATGTTGTCCCTTAGAAACCTCAGCTTCTTTTTTCCTACCACAATACCCTGCCATGATTGTCCTTTCTTTTCTTTCTTTTTCTCCAGACTGCAATTACACATGGCCTTGCCTTCACTGACTAGAGCATCTCCTAGATACCACTTTTATTGCTGATGAATGTGAGTCATACCTTGTCATGCTTTTCAAAATGTTCACAATTTAGTTCTAGTAAAAGAAAAACATGTTCTTGTCTCAAGAGCCACATGAGGTTGCACAGAAGTCTCTGACAAATTCAGTAGAGATATCACCTACGATAGGGGCAATCTGGGAGAGCTTCCTGAAAGAGGTGACATTCAGACATGAAAATAAAGACATTTATCATTCACTTTATCACCAAATTTAGTTAGCTAATCTGAGTTTGAGCTTAAAAGTTGGAATTATTTTTAAAAAGAGAAAAGGAAAGAAGGAAGGAAGGAAGGGATGGAGGGAGGAAGGGAGAAAAGAAGGAAGGAAGAAAGAAGGAAAAAGGAAAGAAAGTCAGGGAAAGAGAAGACAGAGCAAAAGGGACAGCAAGTGGTAAAACAAAGAACTAGGAGCATGAATAAATAGTAGGCTTGAAAATAGGGGATAGGATTCTGAAAGCATAAACACTTCCCCAAAGCCATAAGCATACTTGTATCTTTCATTTTTGTTTACTATGTCCAGGCACAATTCATTTTATTGTGCTTCACTTTATTGTGCTTTGCAGTTAATGTGTTTTCTTCAAACTGAATGCTTTTTGCAACCCTGTATCAAACAAATCTATCAGTACCATTTTTCCAAGATTATGTGCTCACTTCATGTCTCAATGTCATGTTTTTGTAATTATCACAATATTTCAAATGTTTTCATTCTTATTATATCTCTTATAGTGATCTATGGTCAGTGATTTCTGATGTTACTATTTTAATTGTTTTGTAGCACCACAAATCATGCCCATATAAGACAGAAAACTTAATGAAAAAGTTTTGTGTTCTGACTACTCAACTCCATTAACCAGCTGTTATGCCATCTTTCTCTGTCTTCTATTAATTTCAATATTGAAATAAGATTTCAATAATTATTCAATATTTTTGATATTAAAATATTTTAATAATATATGATAATTTAAATATTGAAATAAGTATTGCCTAATTTCAACAATATTAAAATGAGACCAATTAATAAGCTACCAATCGCTTACTAGTGTTCCAGTGTAAGAAAAAAACACATATCTCACTTTAAATCCAAAGGTAGAAAGATTAAGCTTAGTAAGAAAGGGATGTTGAAAGGTCAAAAGCTAGGCCTCTTGTGCAAAACAGTTAGTCAAGTGGTGAACTCAAAGGAAAAGTTTTGAAGGAAATTAAAAGTGCCACTTCAGTAAACATACCATAAGAAAGTGACATAGGCTTATTGCTGATATTGAGAAAGTTTTCATGGTCTAGATGGAAGATTAAACCCAGCCACAATATTTTCTTAAGCCAAAGCTTAGCCCAGAGGAAGGCCCTAATTTCTTCAATTCTATAAAGACTAAGAGAGTTGAAGAAGCTGCAGAAGAAAAATAGGAAGCTAGCAGAGGTTGGTTCACCAGGCTGAGTGAAAGAAGCTATTTCTGTATCACAAAAGCATAAAATGAAGCAGCAAGCGCTAATGTAGAAGCTGTGGCAAGTTATCCAGAAGATCTGGCTAAGATAATTGATGAAGGTGGATATGCTATAAAACAAAGTTTAAATGTAGAAAAAAATGACTATGTTGGAATGATATGATGTTTAGGAGTTTCATAGCTAATTTGGAGAATTCAATGCCTGGCTTTAAAACTTCAAAGAGCAGTCTGACTCTCCTATTAGGGGCCAATAAAACTGGTGGCTTTATGATGAAGCTAATGCTCATTTACAACTCTGAAAATTTTAGAACCCTTACAAATTATGTTAAAACTACTCTGCTTGTGTTTTATAAATGGAACAACAAAGCTTGGATGAGAGTACATCTGTTTACAGCATGGTTTATGGAATATTTTAAGCCCACTTTTGAGACCTACTGTTTAGAAAAAAAATGAATCCCTTCAAAATATTACTTTTCATTGACAGTGCACCTATTCACCCAAAATCTCTGATGGAGATGTACAAGGAGATTACTGTTATTTTTTGTGTCTCCTAACACAACATTCATTCTGTAGCTTATGGAACAAGGAGTTGTTTTGACTGCCAAGACGTTTTATTTAAGAAACACATTGTATAGGAATATAGCTGCCACAGGTAGTGATTTCTTTAATGGATCTTGGGAGAGCACACTGAAAATCTTCGGGAAAGTACTCAGCATTCCAGATGCCATTAAGAACATTCATGATTCATGAAAAGAGGTCAAAATATCAACAT